>NC_000006.12:7484242-7635757 GCF_000001405.40 Homo sapiens
TTTGTGGAGACAGGGTCTTGCATTGTTGCCCAGTCTGGTCTTGAACTTCTGGGCTCAAGCGATCCTCCCACCCCTACCTCTCAAAGTGCCTGGGTTACAGGCATGAGCCACTGTGCCCGGCCTCAATGTAATAACATTGATGAGAAAAAAAAAATGGATTGTGTTATAAGTCACTTTGCTTAAAGTCACAGTTTTCAAGAGCCTATTGACATTACATGAGGATTTACTGTACAATGCTGAATAAAAATGCTGAGAGCAGATATCCTTGCCTTGTTCCCAATCTTAGAGGAAAACTATTTGATCTTTCACTATCTTATTATTTAAAAAATTGTAGTAAAATATACATAACAAAATGTACACTTTTAACTATTTTGAAGTGTGCAGTTCTCGGCATTAAGTCCATTTACACTGTGTAATCATCATCACCATCCATCTCTAGAACTTTTTCATCTCCCCAAACTGAAACTCTGTACCTATTAAACACAGACTCCCCATTCCCCCAGCCCCTGGCAAACACCCTTCTACTTTCTGTCTCTATGGATTCCATTATCCTAGGTACCTCATATTAGTGGAATGACAATATTTATCCTTTTGTGTCTATCTGGTTTCACTTAGCACAGTGTCCTCAAGGTTTGTTCATGTTGTAGCATGTCTTGGAATTTTCTTTCTTCTTAAGGCCAAATAATATTTCACTATATATTTATTCTTTCACTTTTAAGTATAATGTTAGCAGTGGGGTTTTCATAAATGTCTTTCATCAAATTGAGGAACTTTTCTTTTACTCCTAGTTTATTGAGAGATTATATCCTGAATGTAAATTGGATTTGGATAAATGATTTTTCAGCAGCTATTGAGATGACCATGTGGTTTTTGTATTTTATTCTAATTATAGAGTGTAATTATATTAATCAAATATTGACTGTTAAACCAATCTTGCATTCCTGGGGTAAGTCCCACTCAGTCATGGTGTATAATCCTATGCTTTTTTCTAAGAGTTATATAGCTTTATAATAGCTCTTACATGTAGGTCTATGATTGATTTTGAGTTACTTGTTGTATATTATGTAAAGAAGGGTCCAAAATCATTCCTTTGCATATGGATACCCAGTTGTCCCAGCACCATTTGTTGAAAAGCCTATTCTTTCCCCACTGAATGATCTTGGCACTCTTGTTGAAAATCAATTGACTATAAACGTAAGGGCTTATTTCTGGAACTTCAATTCTGCTCCATTGATCTTTATATCTTCCTTATGCTGTACCACACTGTCTTGCTTACTGTAATAACTTGTAGTAAATTTTGAAATCAGGAAGTATGAGTCCTTCAACTTTGTTCTTTTTTGAGACTGTTTTCGTGAATTTGGGTCTCATATTTCTTAGAGTCCTTTTTAACTTTACCTCATCTGGGAAGAATTGCCTTAAGATTATACACCACAGCAGTGCTTCTTAACTTGGCAGTACATAAGAATTACCTGGGAGGCTTTCTATTTTTTTTTTTTATTTTTGGAGACCAAGTCTCGCTCTGTCGCCCAGGCTGAAGTGCAATAGCATGAGCTCGGCTCACTGCAACCTCTGCCTCCCAGATTCAAGCGATTCTCCTGCCTCAGCCTCCCGAGAAGCCGGGACTACAGGCACGCACCACCATGCCTGACTAATTTTTGTATTTTTAGTAGAGACGGGGTTTTACCGTGTTGGCCAGGCTGGTCTTGAACTCCTGACCTCAAGTGATCTGCCCGCCTCAGCCTCCCAAAGTGCTGAGATTACAGGGATAAGCCACTGTGCCTGGCCTATATAAATTCTTATAGCCTGCACATTTATAGTATTTTCCCCTCTTTTATTATTAGCTTTTATTTTACTTTAACTGCTTATGTTTATGGTATCCATGGTTCTATTATTTTATTCTCTCTCTTTTTTTTGAGACAGAGTCTCACTCTGTTGCCCAGGCTGGAGTGCAGAGGTTTGATCTTGACTCACTGCAACCTCTGCCTCCTGGATTCAAGCGATTCTTCTGCCTTGGAATTACAGGCACACGCCACCACACCTGGCTTATTTTGTATTTTTAATAGAGATGGGGTTTCACTATGTTGGACCAGGCTGGTCTCGAACTCCTGACCTCAGGCGATCCACCCGCCTTGGCCTCCCAAAGTGCTGGGATTACAGGCGTGAGCCACTGCACCTGGCTTGTTTTATTCTTCTTTATATTTAATCTTTTTTCTTTTTTTCTTTCTTTTTTTTTTTTAAATGGAGTCTGACTTTGTTGCCCAGGCTGGAGTGCAGTGGTGTGACTGCTGCTCACTGCAACCTCCACCTCCCGAGTTCAATCATTTCTTTTGCATCAGCCTCCTGAATAGCTGGGACTACAGGCACACACCACCACACCCAGCTGATTTTTGTATTTGTATTTATTTTTAGTAGAGACAGGGTTTCACCATGTTGGCCAGGCTGGTCTTGGATTCCTGACCTCAAGTTATCCGCCCGTGTCAGCCTCCCAAAGTGCAGGGATTACAGGCGTGAGCCACCACGCGGGGCTTAGTCATGTTATTATAGGTGTCTTTGTGGTAAATCACTTTAAATCCCTTGTGGGAGAAAGTGGGATGTAAATAAAAACATTTAAAGCTTGACTTTTCCTTTCAAGAGCCTAGTATAGTGCATGGAACTTCCTGTTCTCCATAAAATATGTTTTGAGTTCTAAAACAGGCTGAGGGCGGGAGGTCAGAAAAAACTAGGTAAACCGTTATCAAATTGATTAGGACAAGGATCCAGCCAACCCCATTCATCATTTATCAAATACCTACAGTGCTACATGTTTGCCTTGCCATTTGACCATTGTGCTCAAATCCGGCAGAGTAAGGATGTCTGCTGGAGATCTCAGTACCACACCTGTAAAATGGGTTAACAGTACCTACCTCACAGGCATGTTGAGGGAATGAGGTGAGATGATATATTCAGAGCACTCACCCCAGAGTCTTGCACTTGGTGAGTTTGTCAATGTTATCTTCCCTCCTCATCTCCTTCCTCAATTAGATGCTGTGACTCCCTCCTAAGATTGTATTTACTTTACAAAAGGATATAATTTGTCGAATGTGCAAATGAACTTTGTCATGCTTTGATCCAAGGGAGTTTCTAATCTTTTTGGGGGAGGTGGGAAAGGAGAGTAAGAAATGAGAGGCCGAGCTCTCCACGCGGCCCATGATAAACACCAGGCAGCTTTGTGTGGAATCATCACTTGAGGGTTTGAGTAGCAGAAACATGATGCTGGAAGACATTAGAAGAGAAAGGTCCATGGGCCACAGAAGGAGACAGGTGTGGAATGAGAATTGCCGGCAGCAGCCATCCTTAGAGAAAGAGGTAAACTCTCCCCTCTGCAGGGGGCTTGACTCTACGGCCTCAAAAACTGTGAGCTCTCCAGACAACTTCTTCCTTGTGCATCACATCCAACTGCTGTAGCCCTTCCTCTGCCTCTGCGCTTTTCAGTCTGGACCCAGGACAACACCAACAGCAGGGCCCTGGTGCCAACCAAAGCCCATCAGGGAACTGCCCCCATAGTATCTACTTTTTTTTTCTTTGAGATGGAGTCTTGCTCTGTCATCCAGGCTGGAGTGCAGTGGCACAATCTTGGCTCACTGCAACCTCCGCCTCCTGGTTTCGAGCTATTCTCCTGCCTCAGCCTCCAGAGTTAGCTGGGACTACAGGTGCCCACCACCACGCCTGGCTAATTTTTGTATTTTTAGTAGAGACAGGGTTTTCAGGCTGGTTCCAAACTCCTGACCTCAGGTGATCCGCCCACCTTGGCCTCCCAAAGTGCTGCGATTACAGGCATGAGCCACTGCGCCCGGCCAAATGACAATTTTTAAAAATTGAGGATGGCTGGTGGCAAAGGAGATTCTTATGCTACTGGTTTTCTGGAGTCTATAGTTGAGCTTTAAGAGTCTTGGTTCAGGGACAGGCCTGGTGGCTCATGCCTGTAATCCCAGCGCTTTGGGAGGCCGAGGCGGGGAGGATCGCTTGAGGTCAGGAGTTCAAGACCAGCCTGGGCAACATGGTGAAACCCCATCTCTACCAAAATTACCAAAAAATTAACTGGGCATGGTGGTGCACACCTGTAGTCCCAGCCACTTGGGAGGCTGAGGAGGGAGAATCATCTGAGCTCAGAAGGTTGAGGTTGTAGTGAACTGAGATGGCACCACTACACTCCAGCCTGGGTGACATAGTGAGACTCTGTCTCAAACAAAAAAAAAAAAAAAAAGATACTGGTTTGGTGTTTCCTAGGACCACTCCTTCTCCTTCTATCTCAGTCCTATTTTATAATCTGATAATGCAATTTAGGTTGTGCGTTTTAAGGTGAAGATTAATGAGCTGTGCAGTGGCTTCCTTTATTAACATTAAAATTTTTTTTCAGAGACAGGGTCTTGCTCTGTCACCCAGGCTGAAATGCAGTGTCATGATCATAGCTCACTACAGCTGTGACATCCTAGGCTCAAGTAATCCTCCTGTCTCAGGCTTCTGAGTAGCAGGGACTACACATGTGTGCCACCACGTCTGGCTAATTTTTTTTTTATTTTTGTAGATACAGGGTCTTGCTATGTTGTCCAGGCTGGTCTCCAACTCCTGGCCTCAAGCCATCCCCCCATATCAGCCTCCCAAAGCACTGGGATTACAGGTGTGAGCCACTGTTCCTGGTCCCTTTGTTACTTACTGAGGAAGATAAATATAGAGATTTCATGCCTTATTCCACGTTCAGCTCCTACATTTGCAGTGTCACCTCCCACTAACTTACTCTCCAGTCACAGTGATATAGATATATAAGGAGTTGTCCCAAACCCACCATGCTGTACCTTTGCACATGCTGTTCACTCTTCTTTGAATGTCTTCCCAACTTTTGTATGCCTTGAAAATGTTTATTCATTCTTCAATATCTACCTTAGACTTTAGCTTTCTCCATGAAGTCTTCCTGGGGGAAGTCTTCCATCCTCAAACCCCTACTCATTTTTTTGTGTGCCTTTTTCAGACTCTATTTTCATTCTTGCATATCAGTCTCCCTTACTACACTGTGAGTTCCTTCAATACAAAATCTCCATATTCTTTATGTTTGTATTTCCAACACTATGACTATCCCTTTTATGTGTGGGTGTGATGAATGTTTCTGCAATTTTATATTAAAAGAAAAAAATTCATGAAGGGAATTTCCGAACTTATTGTACGCCAACAGGTTGGCAATCTACTTGTAGAATTATCCCCATCTTAGTTATTTGTTAGAATGAAAATTACACCCTTATGTGGACACTCCCAGAAAAGCTTGTAAATTTTCTCAATTCTTTGTTTGTCTATAAGATGGCATGAAGCCATAAAATAAATTATACCTGTGAAGTATATAATATGCTGTGTAATTACAGATGTGATGCTAGTTGAACCCACTTCTCTGCAAGGGCTGTCTCTAAACAATTAGTATTTGGGGCCAGCTCTGTGGTATGTTTGATTAATACAATTTAAACAGAATAAAGCAACCAGAGTAAAACCAACCAAACTAGCTGTCATATCAAATCCATCCAGTACATATCTATTTTAAGGTCTTCTTTTACATTTTAACCAGTATGATGTATTAGTTATGCCTTTTCATTTGTGCTTCTCAGGAGGCCCATTTCATGTAGGACACTAAAGTATTTGAGGACACATTTGATTCGGAGGCAGCTTACCCTTCAGTTTAATAGTGGATATCCCTGAAAATCAATTCCTGATCAAACTGAAGGTTTAAAATCATCCAAATGAAATTGCAGGCTGGGCACAGTGGCTCTTGCCTCTAATCCCAACACTTTGGGAGGCCAAGGTGGGAGGATCACTTGAGCCCAGGAGTTCGAGACCAGCCTGGCCAACATAGCGAGACCTCATCTCTACTAAAAATACAAAGGAACGGCTGGGTGTGATGGTGCGTGCCTGTAGTCCCAGCCATTCAGGAAGCTCACGGGGGGAGGATCGCTTGAGCCTAGGAGATTGAGACTGCAGTGAGCCATGATCATGCCATTGCACTCCAGCCAGGACAACAGAGTGAGACCTTCTCTAAATAAATAGAAAAAAAAGAACAAAGAAGTTGCAGAGGTACTTGAAGAGGCTGGTAATAAATAAGGACCATATGCTCTCTCTTTTAAAAATGTACCTGTCTGAAGCTTGAACTTAAGCTTCATTAGTATTCCATGGATGTAATTTTTTTCCTCCTTAAATTACCTGCTTATGCTCCTTTCTCCATCTCACAGAGAAGTGAGATTTTCTATAGTTCAACAAGCATAGTTTGAATATCTACTATGTGCCAAGCACTAAGAGGCACAGGATCTCAATGCTCATGCCACTCTGGGTCCTAAATCCTGTAGCACTCTGGAGCCAGTGCCCTGGGGGTGCAAAGGCTGCGGGATTCTGGTACAGCTATAAATGCCTGAACATCCCCAGGAGGAGAGTTTTAAGTTGAATCTTTGTGTGCAGATAACATGACTATATGGAGCTTTCTCTTAAGATAACATAATTCATAATGCCACAAAATAGGAAACGGACATATTTTATCCAAAAAAGTAAATTAAAAGGGCTATCTATGCAAGACATAATGTCTTCCCCCCATCCGCCTTTTTTTTCTGCAGAAGAGAGGCTGGAAGATCAACAATTTTCTAGCCAAGCCAGCTTCAGACATTTGTCAGCTGAGGTCATTCTTTATATTCCCATATTTGATATAAGACTTCAACATGGCAAAGTAAGTGCCACCAGAATTATAAAACTTTGGCATAGAAAGTGACATTGGAGAGCATTATCTTGGCATCTTGGGGTGGCCCAGAGGGCCTCGGGGTTAGCTTCCTAATTCCAAGGGTGAATCTTGCAACTCCTGTATTCACTGGAGCGAATCTCTCCTACCTATGATTTTTGTGGATTTCGATATATTTTGGTGTCTAACACAAAACATCCTCTGAATAAAAGGCTCATCATTACCATTCACTCTTTGAAAAAATATCCCATTCCAAAGAGTACCATAACCATGTTGCACCTTGCAACCATCTCTTCCTCGTATCTGCCAATGCTCCTTTTATTTTATTTTTTGGAAATTTTTTTTTATTGTAGTAAAATACATATATACAATAGAATTTTCCATTTTAACCAAAGTGTACAATTAAGTGCTGCTAAGTACGTTCACAATGTTGTACAACTATCAACACTATCTATTTCTCAAACTTTTTCACTACCCAAAACAGAAACTCTGGAAGCATTAAGCAATAACTCCCCATTCTCCCCTTTCTTCAGCCCCTGGTAATCTATATTACACTTTCTGTGTCTATAAACTTTCCTATTATAGATATTTCATATAAATGGAACCACACAATATTTGTCTTTTTGTGTCGAGCTTATTTTAGTTGGTATAATGTTTTTAAGTTTCATCCATATTGTAGCATGGATCAGAACTTCATTCCTTTGGCTGAATAATATTTCATTGTATGGATATACCACATATTGTTAATTGATTCATGTGCTGATAGACATGGGTTGTTTCCAGCTTTTGGCTATTGTGATTAATGCCATAACAAACATTGACATATACATATCTGTTTCAGTCCCTGTTTTCAATTCTTTAGGAGTGGAATTGCTGGGTCATGTGGTAATTCAATGTTAGATGTTTGGAAAAATGTCAAACTGTTTTCCACAGTGGCTGCACCATTTTCCATTCCCACTAGCAATGTACCACATTCCAATTTCTCCATATCATCACCAACACTTGTAATTCTCTGCATGCTTACTTATGTATATGAGATAAACATCCCAATGGGTGTGAAGTGGTATCTCATTGTGGTTTTGGTTTGCATTTGCTTAATGGCTAATGATGTTGAACATCTTTTTATGTGCTTGGTGCCATTTGTCTCTCTTCTCTGGGGAAATGTCTCCTCCATCCTTTTGCCCATTTCTTAAATTGGGTTGTTTGTCTTATTGTTGTTAGGAGTTCTTTATATATTCTGGATATTAAACCCTTATGAGATATATGGTTTGCAAATGTTTTCTATTCCATTGGTTGTCTTTTCACTTTCTTGATAATGTCCTTTGGTGCACAAAAGTTTTTAATTTTTAAGTGCAATTTATGTTTTCTTTTGTTGCTTGTGGTTTGGTGTCATATCTAAGAATTCGTTGCTAATAAATCCAAGGTAATGATTGATTAGTGTTTTCTTCTAAGAGTTTTATGGATTTAGCTCTTATATTTAGGTCATTGATCCATTTGAGTTAATTTTTGCTTATGGTGTAAGATAGGGATTCAACTTCATTCTTTTGCATATGAAAGTCCAGTTTTCCCAGCACTATTTGTTGAAAAGACTTTTCTTTCCCCCATTGAATGGACTTGGCACCCTCATTGAAAATCATTTGAGCATAGACACACAGGTTTATTTCTATACTCTCAATTCTATTCCATTAGTCCATAAGTTTATCCTTAGGCCAGTGCCACACTGTTTTGATTATTATATCTTTGTAGCAAGTTTTGAAATTGGGATGTGTGAGTCTTCCAACTTTGTTTTTCTGTCTCGAGATTCTTTTGGCCCTTTGGGTACTCTTGCAATTCCATATGAATTTGAGGACCACCATTTACATTTCTGCAAAAAATACCTCCAACTGTTCTTTGTCCTCTTCCCATAAAGAGCATTCGAACAACTGCCTCCTTCCCCAAAGGCCACCCCGGCTCCAGCTCTCTCAGGCTCTCTGTGTGATTCTTATCACTGGTTTTGGTCCTATCTGCCTCCCAGGACAAGGTAATCATCTCCTTAGGTGCAGACTTCCAAAAGCCTGGTCTGCTCAACTCCTTTATCAACAAGCTCCTTTTGGAGGCCTAAGAACCCTTTCTGATATGGGGCTAATGGTTTTTTGAGCTGCATTAAGAGAATAAGGGGAGAGATAGTGGGGTTGGGACTTAAGGGCTATTTCTATGGAGTGGAATAAATATGATTGCATTCTATCTCTGACCTTTTTGCCAACCTACCCCATTCCCTGGGCCAAGGGAAAAATCCTACATGGACCTATGGGGTGTTAGCTATCATCTTAGCATGAATTTGCTGAGCCCCTAATATGTACTGGGTTGGGCAGTGTAACCATCAGTACACAAGAAGCCCTAAATTCATAACCTCAAGGAGTTTACCATCTCCTGGGGGAGTTTGCATGACATATGAATGTTCCAAATATCTAAAGCATGTGCATGATACATTATTCAATATCATGATGCGTTTTCTGATATAGACAATACATGTGATTGAGGTTCAGCTGAGGGAGAGTGTCATGTGAGCTGCAGTCATCAGAGAGCTGCATGGAGAAGGCAGTATACAAACCGGGATGGATTTCCAGAGGTACGGAAGAGAGGACATTCTAGTAGGTGCAAGAAGTGTGATGAAAGGAGATGAAAACAAAATCCAAGACATAATGGGGATTTAATGCCTCTGTGAACCAGTAAGAATCTCAGTTTGAGTGTAAACTACTCATATGAGAGAAGAGAAAGGACCCACTTGCAGAGCCAGGGTGGAGCCAAATTGAGAAGGTCTTGAGTCAAGAGGAGTTGTCTGGAACTGTGGTGTTCTGGGACTTAGGAGCTCATCCTATCCAGCTCTGGCAGCCACTGCCTTTCCAGTTTCTATAGGACTCATTGTTCTCAAGGTGAAGGTGAAATGTGGCTCTCACGGACACATCAGCAGGTGAAGGAGTTTGGAAAAACTGCCAGGCACACCCGTCTGTATCCAGCTTTTATCCAGGCCACCACCCTGGTCAAGGCCCTTGTCACCTCATACCTGGAATGACTGACTAGTCTCTCATCTGATCTCCCTGCCCTCAGGCTCAACTGTGCTCCAAACCCCAGGACAAATGAACACCAGTTAAATGTGCCTGCAACAATGTCAATGGCATGTTGTTCCTTTGCTCAAGAGCATCCTACAGCTAGGCTGTGGACTTCTGTCTCTGGATCTCAAGGCTCTCCTTGATCTTGTCTGCTTTTAGTGTCCCACCAACCTCCCACTGCACCTGCAAACAAAGCAATCCCATTTGCCTCATTCGTTCAGCTTTTCAACTATTTTCTGACCATCTACTACACCTCAGGCATAGGTACCGTTGTGAGCCGAACGAGTCTCCCTTAAATTTGTATGTTGAAGTCCTAACCCCTAGTATCTCAGAATGTGACTATATTTGCAGACAGAGTTTTTAAAGAGGTTATTAAGTTAAAAATGAGGTTACATGGATGGTCCCTAATCCAATATGACTGGTGTCCTTCTAAGAGGAGGAGATGAGGACACAGACACATACACACAGAGAAGACCACGTGAAGACAGAGGGAGAAAAATGACATCTACAAGCCAAGGAGAGAGGCCTCAAGAGAAACCAACCTTTCTGACACCTTGATCTTGGACTTCCAGCCTCCAGAACTCTGAGGAAATAAATCTTTGTTGTTTAAGCCCCGCAGGCTGTGGTACTTTGTTATGGCAGCTCTAGCTGATGAAGACAGACTACTTTGCCAGGCCACCCTCAATAGCAGCATTTATGTGCACTGCACACGCCATTTTCTTACGGAAATAATGAGATGATTATGCACATATTCTGCAACTAACTTTTTTAATGTAGCAATATTCATAAGCATCTTCCACGTCAGTACTTACAAATCTGCATTCTTTTTAGTATGTGCACAGTATTCCATGTTCTTCCCTCAGTCTTTTTTTTTTTTTTTTGAGGCAGAGTCTCACTCTGTCACCTAGGCTGGAGTGCAATGGCACGATCCCGGCTCACCACAGCCTCCACCTCCCGGGTTCAAGCAATTCTCCTGCCTCAGCCTCCTGAGTAGCTGGGATTACAGGCGCACACCACCATGCTTGGCTAATTTTTGTATTTTTAGTAGAGACAGGGTTTCTCCATGTTGGCCAGGCTGGTCTCGAACTCCTGACCTCAAGTGATCCACCTGCCTCAGCCTTCCCAAGTGCTCGGATTATAGGCATGAGCCACCGTGCCCAGCCCCATCAGTCTTTTTAATAGCAAAATTCCCATGACATCAATTTTATTAAAACTTCTGGAACCTATAGCATGACTGAATCTTTTTTATTCAAAGCTCTATGTTGCCTTCAGAATGTGAAGCTGGATTAGAATGCCAACTTTCTATGAAAAGGACCATAGACACCCCCTTCTAGAACTCCCGTATTTTAGAGATGCAAAGACAAAGGGCCAAAGAATTTCATTACTTTCTCAAGGTAATTTCAATGGTAAATACTGAACCCAGGGGAAGAGGCCACACCTTCAGGGTTATTCGCACTGTATCACAGTGCCACTGAGATGGAGAGACCATGAGTACCTTTCCTGGGATTGCTATGCCAGGTTCTATTCCTTAGCCCATTTAAGCATTGCTTTTTATTAACGTGGAACAAAAAAAACCCATAGAATTAAGTGTGACCCTAGAGTCAGCTGGTCTACCCTCATCTTATAAATAAGAACACAGAGGACCGGAGTTCCCTAGGGAGGGTTTTGAGGTTGATCGATATTTCCTATAAATGAAATCATACAATACATGTCTGGCTTTTAAAAAAATTTAAATCTGATTTTGTTCATTTTAGACTTCAGTCCCTCCAAGAGCTTCCTATTACACTTGCAATGAAGCACACACTCCTCCAGGCTCCAGGACTGATCTGGGTCCTGCGTCTCAGCCTGTTGTCTCCTCTGCCCACCACGCTTTTTCATACATCCTCCTTGCTGTTCTTTAAACCACAAAATATTTATTGAGAAGCTATTTCATGTAAGACCCACTGGCAGATATTACAGGAAATATGAGTCAGATTTAACCATGGTCTTTTTAAAATGTTTTATTAAAAAATTTTTTAATTAAAAAAAATTGTTGTAGAGACGGGGTCTCACTTTGTTGTCCAGGCTGGTCTCAAACTCCTGGGCTCGAGTGAACCTCCTTCCTTGGCCTCCCAAAGTGCTGGGATTACAGGTGCGAGCGCCACTGTGCCCAGCAAACCCTGGTCTTAAATGAGCTTTATATGTATTTCTCTAGATAGATAGACAGATAGAAAGACAGAATGGGCTGGGGTTCATTCTTTTCTTCAATTACTTAGTAAAAAAATTATTATCTGTCTATACATTTTAAGTCCACAGCTAAGCACAGTGGACACAAGGCAAGGGCCCGGAGACCAACAGGGAGGACAGCCTGGCACATCACTCATAAGAATGGCATGCACTGGGTCCTGAGAACAATCAGAACAGTGAAGAGGGCTCTCTCATCAGCCTAGGAGGGTCAGGGGGCCTCTCAGAGGAGGTGACAGTTGAGTTGTGTCTTGGAGTGACACGGAGTTAGTAAATGTGGGAAGTAGAGAGTAAGGTGGAGGTGGGCCAGGGAGGAGGGGAGGGAGTGAGAACTGCCTGTGTGAGGCTCGAGTACGTGGAAGGACGTGTGGAAGGGCGTGCCGCACGGGAGAACTGGGCACACTTCTGTCCTGGTAAAGGGGGCATGTCAGAGCAGTGGGTGGAGCAACCAGGGGAAGCTGGGCTGCCGCGTGAACAGAGCTAAAAAACCATCCCCCACCGCAATTTTATTCTAAGCACGTTCTATTTTATTTGATTAGCATTAAAAGAAAAATTATTTGTAGAATTTTATGTCTTTTATAGAACTCATTGGTGGTGTAGTGGGCACTGGATTTTATTTGTGTGTTGTGGCAGCCAGGGGCTAGTTAGGAATTTATTTTATTAACTCACGCAAAAAGAGTTTTAAATTTATAATTTTATTAGTACTTGTTATACATGGTAATTTCTCTCTCTCTCTCTCTCTGGATCAGGGATATATATATATATATCCTGATCGAAAAATCTGAAACCTAAAATGCTCCAAAATTCAAAATGTATTGAGCACCCAAGACATCACAGGTAGAAAATTCCACAACAAACCTTATGAGACAGGTCACAGTCAAAACTTTGTTTCATGCACAAAATTAAAAATATTGTACAAAGTTACCTTCAGACTATGTATATAAGGTGTATATGAAACATAAATGAATTTCCTTTTTTGATTTGGGTCTGATTCCCAACATATCTTGTTCTATACAGGCATACCTCGAGGATATTGTGGGTTTCGTTCCAGACCACCACAATAAAGCAAATGTAGCAATTAAAGTGAGGTACAAATATTTTGGTTTCACAGTTCATATAAAAGTTATGTCTATACTATATTGTTGTCTATTAAGTATGCAATAGCATTATGTCTAAAAAAGGTATATGCCTTAATTTTAAAATGGTTTACTGCTAAAAATGCTAAAAATCATCTGAGCCTTCAGTGAGTCATAATCTTTTTGCTGGTGCAGGGTCTTTTGTCAATGTTGGTGGCTGCTGACTGATCAGGGCGGTGGCTACTGGAGGTTGGGGTGGCTGTGGCAATTTCTTAAAATGAGACACAATGAAATTTGCCACACCAATGGACTCTTCTTTTCACAAAAGATTTCTCTAGCAGATGTTGCTGTTTGATAGCATTTTACCTACAGTAGAACTTCTTTCAAAATTGGAGTCAAGCCTCTTAAACCTGCCACTGCTTTATCAACTAAGTTTATGTAATGGTCTAAATCCTGTGTTCTCATCCCTACAGTGTTCATGGTACCTTCACCAGAAGCAGATTCCATCTCCAGAAACCACTTTCTTTGCTCATCCATAAAAAGCAGCTCCTTATCTGTTCAAGTTTTCTCATGAGATTGCAACAATTCAATCACATCTTCAGGTTCCACTTCTAATTCTAGTTCTCTTGCTATTTCCACCACATCTGCAGTGACTTCCTCCACTGAAGTCTTGAATCCCTCAAAGTAATCCATGAGGGTTGGAATCAACTTCTTCCAAACTGCTGTTAATGTTATATTTTGGCCTCTTCCCATGAACTACAAATGTTCTTAATGGCATCTAGAATGGTGAATCCTTTCCAGAAGGTTTTCAATTTGCTATGCCCTCATCTATCCAAGGAATCATTGTCTGTGGGAACTATAGCTTTATGAAATGTATTTCTTAAATATTAAGACTTGAAAGTTGAAATTATTAAGTCTTAAATATTAAGACTTGAAAGTTGAAAATTGCAGCTCCTTGATCCATGAGCTGCAGAATGAATGTTGTGTTAGCAGGCATGAAAACTACATTCATCTCCTTGTACATCTCCATCAGGGTTATTGGGTGACTAGGTGCATTGTCACTGAGCAGTCATATTTTGAAAAGAATCTTTTGTTCTGAACAATGGGTCTCAACAGTGGGCTTAATATATTTAGTAAACCATGCTATGCTGTAAGCAGATGTGCTGTCACCTAGGCTTTGTCATTCCATGTATAGAGCACAGGCAGAGTAGATTTAGCTTCATTCTTAACAGCCCTAGGATTATTGAAATGGTAAATCAGCATTGGCTTCAACTTAAAGTCACCAGGTGCATTAGTCCCTAACAAGAGAGGCAGCCTGCCCTTTGAAGCTTTGAAGCCAGGCATTGACTTCCTCTATTCTAGCTATGAAAGTCCTAGATGGCATCTTCTTCCACAGAAGGCTGTTTTGTCTAAATTGAAAATCCATTTAAATCATCAATGCTATTAGCTAGATCTTCTGGATAACTTGCTGCAGCTTCTCCATCAGCACTTGTTGCTTCACCTTGCATTTCTATGTTATGAAAATGACTGTGCTTCTTAAGCCTCATGAACCAACCTCTCGTAACTTCAAACTTTTCTTCTGCAGCTTCCTCATCTTTCTCAGCCTTCACAGAATTGAAGAGAGTTAGGGCCTTGCTCTGGATTAGTTTTGGCTTAAGGGAATGTTGTGGCTGGTTTGATCTTCTATCCACACCACTCAAACTTTCTCCATATCAGCAAAAGGCTGTTCGCTTTCTTATCATTCATGGCTCTCTGGAGTAGCACTTTTAATTTTCTTCAAGAACTTTCCTTTGCATTCACAACTTGACTAACTCTCTGGTGCAAGAGCCCACCTTAGCTTTTGACATGCCTTCCTCACCAAGCTTCACCATTACCAGCCTCTGCTTTAAGGTGAGAGACTTGCACACTTCCTTTCACTTGAACACTTAAGAGGCCATTGTCAGGTTATTAACTGGCCTAATTTCAATATTGTTGTGTCTCAGGGAATAGGGAGGCCTGAGGAGAGGGAGAAAGATGTGGGAAAGGCCGGGTGGTGGAGCACAGAACCCGCAAAACATTTATCAATGAAGTTCACTGTCTTATATGGGCGTGGCTTGTGGTGCCCCAAAACAATCACAATAGTGACATCAAAGGTCACCGGTCACAGATCACCAGAGCAGATATAATAATAATGAAAAACTTTGAAATATTGCAAAAATTACCAAAATGTGACAGAGGAATGAAGTGAGCATATGCTGTTGGAAAAATGGCGCTGATAGACTTGCTTGACACAGGGTTGGCCACAAACCTTCAATCTGTAAAACATTCAATATCTGCGAAGCATAAAAAAGCAAATTGCAATAAAATGAGGTATGCCTGTATATACAAATGTTCCAGAATCTGAAAAAATCCAAAGTTCAAAACATATCTAGTCCCAGGCATTTCAGATAAGGGATACTCTGTGTGTGTGTGTGTGTTTGTGTGTGTGTGTGTGTGTGTGTGTATGAATTTTGAGAGTGTTGTTTATTTTTATTTTGTAAATACAAGGTCTTGCTCTGTCACCCAGGCTGGAGATCAGTAGCATGATCACATTTCACTGCTGCTTTGAACTCTGACTCAAGGAATTCTCCCTCCTACCTCAGCCTCCCAAGTAGGTAGGACTCCCAAGTAGGTGGCGTACACCACCATGCCTGGCTAATTTATTTTATTTTTTCTAAAGACAAGGTCTGTCTATGTTGCCGAGGTTGATCTCGAACTTCTGGCTTCAAGTGATCCTCCCTCCTCAGCTCCCCAAGTGTGTGTGGTTTTTTAAATCCCCTTTTGCGGGTGAGGCAATTGAGGAAAGGCTGAGGACACACAGGTAGTGGGTGAGCAGGAAGGGGCTGCCTACCTCAGGGACACATGGGAAGTCCTGCCCCAGCTCCCTGGATGAGTGTGGCCTGAGCCAAGGGAGGGAAAGGAAGGCTGAACAGAAGGGGGTAAAAAGTGGGGCGATTTAAGGAGCAGACTTGGGAGCACTGGAGCGCAGGGGGAGGGAGAGGAAGGAACCTAGAACAATTTCTAAGTTTGTGTCATGGACAACTGAGAGATCATGGCATTCCCAGAGGTGGGGGGAAAGGAAGAAGGCGCAGGTGAAAGAAAACAAGCCCAGGCATTGCTGTGGAACATGGCAGAAGAGGACACGTGCCCCAGACCAGGAGCATGGTGCCGTGAGCGGGTACCAGGAAAGGCCCCGAGGGTGCTGTGTCTTTTAAAATGGGCCTTGCAGCCAGGTGCAGTGGCTCATGCCTCTCATCCCAGCACTTTGGGAGGCTGAGGCAGGTGGATCACCTGAGGTCAGGAGTTCGAGACCAGCCTGGCCAACATGGTGAAACCCTGTCTCTACTAAAATACAAAAATTAGCTGGGCATGGTGGTGGGCACCTGTAATGCCAGCTATTCGGGGGGTGGGGGGTGGTAGGGATGGTGGCAGCAGGGGTCTCAGGCAGGAGAATCGCTTGAACCCAGGAGGCAGAGTTTGCAGTGAGCCGAGATTGCACCACTACACTCCAGCCTAGGCAACAAGGCCAGAGTCCTTCTACAAAAAAAAAAGAAAAGAAACAAAGGGCCTTGGATTCGGTTCAAAGGGCTTTCAGCAGGTGAGGTTGCAATGGAGAGTGTTCTACTGAGAAGAAACAGGTAGGGAAACATGAGATTGTGTGTAGGGAGTACTGACCGTATATTTTGGTCAAGGCGCTCCATCTGTGGCCGGAAAGGTGTTTGAGCTTGCGGCATAGAAATCCTGGGCTGGGCTTGCTGACGGAAGGCTGTCAGGACGGATCTAGGTTGGCTTAGAATGGGGAGATACTGGAAGTGGGGAGACCAGTTTGCAGGGTTTTGCAATGATGCAGGGAAGAGGTAAGGTGCCCTTGGATTGGGTGGGGATGCTGGTATTGGAAAGAGGAGGGTGTAAAGGGACCAGGGACATAGAGTCAACAGGCTTTGATAACTAGAGGTAGGGCTAAGCGGGTAGGGAGGTAGTCCAAGGCCATCCTGAAATTTTTGAGCTTGGGGTGAAAGAAATAAATTCATTTTGGGGAATACTGTGGTAAGACAACCATTGCCTATCCAGGCAGTGCAGCCCAGAAGGTTGACAATGTGTCTGGAGAAAGTCAGTGCTAGATTTGGGATCATCCTCCCAAGGTTACAGCTGAAGTCTTGAACAACAGATGATACTGTGGAGGACAGAGTGAAGAGACAGGAAGGCAGCAGAGGACGTAACCTTGCCAAACAGCCCGTTTTTGGGGCAGGAGAAGAAGGAGGCATCAAAGGTGACTGAGGCGATGTAGGAGGAGAATGAGGGCAGTGCCAAGGTTCAGAAGTCTGGAGAGGGATTTCAAAGAGGAGGTGGCATAAATCAAAAATCACCTTAAAACCCAGGACCCGGCAGGGCGTGGTGGCTCACGCCTGTAATCCCAGCACTTTGGAAGGCCTAGGTGGGTGGATTGCCTGAGGTCAGGAGTTCAAGACCAGCCTGGCCAACATGGTGAAACCCCGTCTCTATTAAAAATACAAAAATTAGCTGGGCGTGGTGGCATGTGCCTGTAATTCCAGCTACTCGGGAGGCTGAGGCAGGAGAATTGCTTGAACCTGGGAGGCGGAGTTTGCAGTGAGCTGAGATCGTGCCGCTGCACTCCAACCTGGGTGACGGAGTGAGACTCCGACTCAAAAAGACAAAACAAAACAGCTGGGCACAGTTGCTCACACCTGTAATCCTAGCACTTTGAGAGGCCGAGGCGGGCGGATCACCTGAAGTCAGGAGTTCAAGACCAACCTGACCAACATGGAGAAACCCCGTTTCTACTAAAAATAGAAAATTAGCCAGGCGTGGTGGCGCATGCCTGTAATCCCAGCTACTCAGGAGGCTGAGTCAGGAGAATCACTTGAACCCCGGAGGCGGAGGTTGCGGTGAGCCGAGATCATGCCACTGCACTCCAGCCTGGGCAAAAAGAGTGAAACTCCATCCCAAGAACAAAACAAAACAAACAACAAAAAAACAAAAACCAGGACCTTAACTATTTAGCAAGCTGCTGCTGCTTTAGTATTTTGGCCAAGAGTAGATACAACCCTTTCCCTCTTTTTCCCCTCTTACTGTTAGATGCTGGAACTTTCAAAGACTTTTCTAAGTATTGCCAACAGAGAGCAAAAGAATACAGTAAACATCAGATCTGCAGGCTATACAGTTCTCATTGCCAGCACAGCCATGGTACTCTATGGGGCTCGTGGGTTTCCCTCCAAAAGGGAGCAGAGTTCCTCACACCCCAGCCCGAAGTTGGTATGGCCCCTTGGAGTTCTTGGCTGGGCTCCCTGCTTCAGGGGGTGGCTTCCACTCGCTGGCCTCTTTCTGCTCCCATCACATAGGGGCCCCTGCTCTGACAACTGGCATTTGCATCTGGGCAAGACGGCAGCCTGTCCAGGCCTGGCCTCCCTCTTCCTTTGCCCAGCATGAATGACCCCTTGTCCTGGTCAGGGACACCAGGAATCCTGTCACTCTTCCCAGGAGACAGTGACTACAAGCAGGGCCAAGAGCCCAGTGATAGGCTAAAGAGCTACCAGCACTGCAGTGTGTAACGGACCGAGTCATGCGGTGCAGCTGGGGCATGCGGGAAAGGAGGCAGTGCTCTCCCTTGGAGCCAGGTGTAGCAAACACTGCCGCGGTGGAGGAGGCTGGGACTGAGATGAGCCTCTAGGAAAGGACGAGAAGGACGCTGGTGGCTTTCGGCAGAGCTCACTCATCGTAGGGCAGGTTGGACCAGACAAACTGCAGACGGTTATAGCGTGAGTGTGGAGGCTGTGGCGTGGATAGCCCCACTGGAGAGATCTGGCCCATTCCTCCCTTCTCCTGCATCCCATGCAACCTGGCCACTCCAGCTCCTGTTCAGGTCTCACTAGTCCAGGTGATTCAACCACATGGAAGCAGAGGCCCCATCATTCCCCGCAGGCTCGCTGCCCTCTGTGGGGTGGGGCTGTCCCTTTACCTTTCCGAGAGTCAGCTCTTGTGGCTGCACCCTCTGACTTAGGTTTGGGGTGTATCCTGGCAATTTAAAGAATCACCCAGTGTTGCAACCATAGAATTGTGGCATTTTAGGGCTGAAACGGATTTCACATATACAATGTCATAGAACTTCAGAATTTAAATAACATGTGGTATTGATCCTATCTGGTATTGTCCTGGAACTGGTTCATACTGGCTCCCCAGAGCCACCCTAAGAAGGTGGAATGCACCCTCTAACTAGAGTTTCCATCTCTTCCATCCATCCTTTCCTTGCCTTGCCTGTCTTACATTTTAATTTTTTTTTTTCTTTTGGTGACAGTCTCGCTCTGTTGTCCAGGCTGGAGTGCTATGGCTCAATCGGGGCTCCAGTGATCCTTCTGCCTCAGCCTCCCCAGTAGCTGAGACTACAGGCTTGAGCCACCATACCTGGCTAGCCTTCAAGTTTTTTGTAGAGATGGGGTCTTACTATGGTGCCCAGGCTGGCCCTCAAACTCCTGGCCTTAAGTGATTCTCCTGCCTTGGCCTCCCAAAGTGCTGGGATTCCAGGCGTGAGCCACCATGCATGCTGCTCTAATTTATAAGTGTCCATGCTTTCCTGACTTTTATCCTCCTGTAAAAGTCCTAACCAGAACTTTGAGCTCAGCTGTGCAAGTACAGAAAAATCACACTGTGGGGGAAAATGCGAGCATCAAAGTTAATTTGCTTTCGTGTTGAATTCACATTTATCACAAAGACAATAGAGCGAGTCCAATAACCCATTCTAAATGACGTATTTCCAGTCTAGTTTGTTTCTTCTTACTTGTGGTCACGCTGTTGACCCCAGCCTACAGGGCATGCCACTTTTCCCCTCAAGGGCAAAGAAGCCTCTAATTGTTGAGGATATTACAAATACACGATTGTGTCTGCATCTCCCTGTTGCATTCCACCTAAGTATAGTAAGAACATTGCCCCATATTCAGCTTAAACTATGAGAGGGAATTTCAGGAGGGGTTTAATAGCAGTCAGTCTCTTTCCCCTGAGAACCTATTTTCAGAGGAATTATTTGTCCCTCACTCCCTATTAATAGTGCAATAACATCCTCCTGCTTCTGTTTTTTGACAGGATTCTAGGCTGGTGTGACCAGACTATGCTTTCAGCATCCACTCATTGAAATAGAATGCAAAAGGCCAGGCGCAGTGGTTCATGTCTAGGACTTTGGGAGGCTGAGGCAGGTGGATCACTTGAGGTCAGGAGTTCAAGACCAGCCTGGCCAACATGGTGAAACCTTGTCTTTACTAAAAATACAAAAATTAGCTGGGTGTGGTGGCGGGTGCCTGTAATCCCAGCTACATGGGAAGTTGAGGCAGGAGAGTCGCTTGAACCCAGGAGGCAGTGGTTGCAGTGAGCTGAGATTGCACCACTGCACTCCAGCCTGGGTAACAGAGTGAGACTCTGTATCAAAAAAAAAAAAAAAGAACGCAAAAGATTTGGATTCTAAATTCTGCTGCTAATTAATAGCATGACCCTGGGTAAGTCATTTCCTGTCTCTAGGCTGAGGTTTTCTCATCTATAAATGAAGGATTTGGACAAGGTCAATGATGGGCTAGTACATTTTTTAACAATCAGCTCTTAGTGAAGTGGGAGGGGAGATAAGCCTGATTTGTAGTGTTTGTCAGTTTCTGTGGTGTAAATAATCCCACTAAAGGCCCATTTCAAACTACCAATTTGAAGTAAACCGGCTTGAAAATATCCTGAAAATGAAGCCATTGGCTCTGGTGAGCCAGTTATTTAAATTCTGAAGTTCTATGACATTGTATATGTGAAATCCGTTTCAGCCCTAAAATGCCACAGTTCTATGATTGCAACACTGGGTGATTCTTTAAATTGCCAGGATACACCCCAAACCTAATTAACAGCATTCGCTTGCTGCCTCCGTGCACTGGCATCCTAATGAAAGCTGGCTTTGGTCCAGATTCGGAGCCAGATGCCGTGGAAGCAGAAGCTGCTCTGACGCTGTCGTGGCTGTGAGTTGGGGAACTCGGGCCTTGAAACTCACTCAATCAAGAGCTGCTCCTGCCTTCCCTTCTTTTGGTCAGGTGGGGATGATTCATTCCTGTGTTATTTCAGCCACTGTTTCCCAGGGTGCCTGGAAGCAGAGAAGGCCTGAGAGCTTGAAGCAGACAGAGGAAAAACAGGGAGAAGGAGGAGAAAGGGACCCGCCTTGGGTAGGGCCCCTGCTGAGTCGTGGGCAGGTGTGAGTCATTCCTCTCTGCTTCAGCAGCCACACCTTTTGTCAAGTTCTGAATGCCAGGTGGAGAATCTGCCTAGACCAAGCGCCCTTGATCAAGTCAGAACAGGTTTCCTGAAAGATCATTCCCATTAAAATTAATGGAATCAGAATAGGCTGATCTTTTCTGTAATGTGACGTGTTTCTTTTCAACATGTTTCCTAAATGCTTAGAGAGACCCCCTAAAAGTATAGAAGAGGGAGAAAAGAGGAAGAAGTGTGCTTTCACATCCCCAGGGCTCGGGACTAGAGAGAGAAGGTAGTTTTATATTATCCATTCCTGCCTTCCCAACCAACCACCTTACCAGCTTACCAAAGAACTGACCAGCAAGGACAGTGAAGAGTGTAATGAGCATGAATCCTCATGAGCTGCCATATTATGATCAAGATCTTTCCATTGAGTGTGTGTGTTGCTATTGAATTAAGAAGAAAAGGTCTAGAAGGGAAAGACTTGGCATATAACTAATTTCAAAGTCTTAGGGACACACTTTACAGCCATAAGGTTGGCAACTATTGAAAACAGAAACAACTCCTCTCTCTGGTCCGTGTCTTCAAGATGATGAAGAAAAGAAGGAACAATAATTGTGCCAAAAAGAGCCGCGGCCACGTATAGCCTATTCGCTGCACAAACTGTGCCCTATGTGTGCCCAAGGACAAACCCATTAAGAAATTCGTCTCTCGAAACATAGTGGAGACCGCAGCAGTCAGGGACATTTCTGAAGCGAGCGTCTTCGATGTCTATGTGCTTCCCGAGCTGTATGTAAAGCTACGTTACTGTGTGAGTTGTGCAATTCACAGCAAAGTAGTCAGGAATCGATCTCATGAAGCCCGCAAGGACCGAACACCCCCACCCCGTTTAGACCTGCGGGTGCTGCCCCACAACTGCCAGCAAAGTCCATGTAAAGAGCTGAGTCCTTAAAGACTGAAGACGAACTATTCTCTGGAAAAAAATTAAATGGAAATTGTACTTAAAAAAAAAAAAGAAAACAGAAACAAACAAAATAATAATGGTGGGTGAGGGTGTGGAGAAATTAGAACCCTTGTGCATTGTTGGTGGAATGTGAAATGGTGTAGCCGGTGTGGAAAACAGTATGGGAGTCCCTCAAAAAAACTACACAGACGATTACCATATGATCCAGCAATCTCACCACTGGGGTTACATCCAGGAGAACTGAAAACAGAGTCTTGGCTAGGCACAGTGGCTCACGCTTATAATTCCAGCACTTTGGGAGGCCGAGGCAGGCGGATCACTTGAGGTCATGAGTTCAAGACCAGCCTGGCCAACACGGTGAAACCCTGTCTCTACTAAAAAATACAAAAATTAGCTAGGCGGCCAGGCGAAGTGGCTCATGCCTGTAATCCCAGCACTTTGGGAGGCCGAGGTGAGTGAATCATTTGAGGTCAGGAGTTTGAGACTAGCCTGGCCAACATGGTGAAATCCCGTCTCTACTAAAAATACAAAATTAGCTGGATATGGTGGCACATGCCTGAAATCCCAGCTACTAGGGAGGCTGAGGCAGAAGAATTGCTTGAACCCGGGAGGCTGAGGTTGCGGTGAGCCCAGATCGTGCCATTGCACTCCAGCCTGGGCAACAAGAGTGAAACTCTGTCTCAAAAATAAATTAGCCAGCCGTGGTGGCACGTGCCTGTAATCCCAGCTACTCGGGAGGCTGAGGGAGGACAATCACTTGAACCCAGGCATGGGAGGTTGCAGTGAGCTGAGATCGCGCCACTGCACTCCAGCCTGGGCGACAGAGCAAGACTCTGTCTCGAAAAACAAAAAAGAAAAGAAAAGAAAACAGGATCTTGAAGGTATATTTGTACACCAGTGTTCATGGAAATATTATTTGTGATAGCCAAAAGGCAGAAGCAACTGAGTAACCCATGATGATGGATGAATGGACAAACACAATGTGGCCTGTCCATACAATGGAATATTATTCAGCCTTAAATAGGAAGGAAATTCTGGCACATGCAACAACAAGGATGAACCTCGAGGACATTACGCTTAGTAAAAATAAGCCAGACACAGAAAAACAAATACTGGATGATTCCATTTATTTGAGATACCTAGAGGAGTCAGATTCATAGAGAGAGAAAGTAGAATGTGGGTTACCAAAGGCTAGAGTGGGGGAGGGGAATGGGAGTTATTGTTTAACAGGTACAGAGCTTCAGTTTGGAAAGATGAAAATGTTCTGGAGATGGACGGTGGTGACGGCTGCACAATGTGTGAATGTGCTTAATGTCAGTGAACTGTACACTTAAAAACGGTTAAGATTTCTGTGAATGTGTCTTTTACCACAATTTGGAAAATATTCTACACATATACATAAGAACGACAATAACCAAAAACGTTGGAGACAAACTCCCTGGAAAAAAAAAAACTCTCTTTTTTTTTTTTTTTTTTTTGAGACAAGGTCTCACTCTGTCACCCAGGCTGTTGTGCACTGGCACGATCATGGCTCACTGTAGCCTCAACCTCCTGGCTCAAGGGATCCTCCCACCTCAGCCTCCCAAGTAGCTAGGAGTACAGGCACATGCCACCGCACCCAGCTAATTTTAAAAAATTTTTTAATAGAGACAGAGTTTCATTATGTTGCCCAGGCTGGTCTCAAACTCCAGGCCTCGAGCAATTCTCCTGCCTCAGTCTCTGAAAGCGCTGGAATTACAGGCACCAGCCACTGCGCTGGGCCTTCAATCTCTATTTTGTGTCTTTATAAGAAATACGAGCTCAGGCCGGGCTCGTGTGGTTATAGATAGATGTGATTATAGAAGTGGTGGCTCACATCTATAACCGCAGCACTTTGGAAGGCCAAGGCAGGTGGATTGCTTGAGGCCAGGAGTTCAAGACCAGCCTTGGCCAACATGGTGAAAACCCCTCTCTACTAAAAATACAAAAATTAGTTGGGTGTGGTGGTACATGCCTGTGATCCCAGCTACTCGGGAGGCTGAGACACAAGAATTGTTTGAACCTGGGAAGCAGAGGTTGCGGTGAGCCAAGATCGTGCCATTGCACTCCAGCCTGAGCAATAGAGCGAGACTCTGTCTCACAAAAAAAAAAAAAAAAAAAGGAAAAAGAAAGAGAAAGAGAAAGAAAGAAACAAAGAAAAAAGAAAAAGAAAAAAAAGAAATATAAGCTCAGAAAAGTAACTTGATCAATATGAGTCTGTTTGGTTATCTGTAAAATGGAGATGATAATGACATGTACTTCTTAAACCTGCTGTAAGGTTAAAATGAGACAGTCAAGTAAAGCCCTTGGTACAGTTTTGGCACACAGTATGTGCTCAATAAGTGTTAGTGGCTGGGTGCGGTGGCTTACACCTATAATCCCAGTACTTTGGGAGGCTGAGGAGGGAGGATCACTTGAGCCCAGGAGTTCAAAACCAGCCTGGCAAATATAGCAAGATCTCATCTCTTAAAAAAAAAAAAGTGTTAGCCATTACTATTATTGAATCATCGGACATCATGGTTGAAAGTCAACTAGAAGCTCTCCATGGGCAGTCTTATCTAATTTATCTTTTTAAACTGGATCCAAAAAATGGAAACAATTTTCTGCCACATATTCACATCCATCAATACATGCATCATTGAGACCTACATATAAGTGGAGCAAAAACAAGCTACTATCTCTAGTCAGCATTCTTAACCTGTCTTCGTCGCTTATTCTGTATATCAGAGTCCTGCCTTTGTCCTCAGACAAACTGCACTTGGAGCACAGGTGTTTTATGTTTATCAACACCATCAAAGATGAGACATTTGTTTTCTACAAGGAACTACCAGAATAATGTCAGCGGTGCTATGGTGTCCACATAAACTTAAGAGGAAGGCCCGCAGGAGCAAGCCAGCTCTGCAGATAAGGCAGTGGTGATGGTAGAGTATGCCTGCATCCCCCAGGGTCCCACCCTGGGATACATGGATCCTCCAAAGCCATTTCCGTGCTCCCGGCTGCAGCATTCAGCATGTCACCTTCAGGATATTTCCTGGGGAGTTCATCCAATGAGGGCACAAAAGGCAAGGACAGGGAGAAAAACAGAGAAACAATACTGGGAACACCTAATACGTGGCCTTGAAATCTTTGAAACAATAGTTAAGGATGCAATATGGCAAAATGTGAATGTGTGGGGTTGCAATGCCAGTGAATATTTCCAGAACAGTGGTTCTCAAACCGGGGTGATTTTGCCCCTCCCTCTCTACTCCCCAGGGGACATGAGGCAAGACATTTTTGGTTGTCACACTGAAATGAGGTGCTGCTGTGTCTACTGGGTAGAGGCCAGGGATCCTGCAGAAAATCCTACAATCTACAGGACAGCCCTCCATAACAAAGAATTATCCCATCCAAAATGTCAATAGCACTCAGGTAGAGAAGTCCTGCTCTAGAACAACCAGAAGGAATGAAAGGAAATCATTTCCTCCTCAGTGAGGGAAGGATGGAAGAAAATAGCTATTACTATGGATGGTTACAGACGAGGCCCAAAGAAAAAGAATCTAAAGAAAAAGACTGCCCTGCCGGGCACGGTGGTTCACACCTGTAATCCCAGCACTTTGGGAGACCAAGGTGCGTGGATCACCTGAGGTCAGGGGTTCGAGACCAGCCTGGCCAACATGGTGAAAACCTGTCTCTACTAAAAATACAAAAATCAGTCGGGTGTGGTGGCACATGCCTGTAATCTCAGCTACTTGGGAGGCTGAGGCAGGAGAATCACGTGAACTTGGGAGGCAGAGGTTGCAGTGAGCCAAGATCGCACTACTGCACTCCAGCCTGGGGAACAGAGCAAGGCTCCGTCTCAAAAAAAAAAAAAAATAGCAATAATTTTAAAAAATGCCCTTTACCTTTTTAATTTTTCTTTTCTTTCTTTCTTTTTTTCTTTCTTTCTTTTTTTTTTTTTTTTAGAGATAGGGTCTTGCTATTTTGCCCAGGGCTGGCCTTGAACTCCCAGGGCTGGCCTTGAACTCCTGAGCCCAAGGAATCCTTCCACCTCAGCCCCTCAAAGGGCTGGGATTACACCCAGCCCAAGAATGCCCTTTGTATACTACTGGACATTTCTTAACTTTCTTACCCTTATATCCACACCCATACACCCACTACTGAGCAAAGGACACATTTATTTATCATCTTTTTGCAACAGAGATATCAACATTTAAAACTGGATTTGGTGAGGAGGGGAAAATTCCTTTATAAAAGTAAGACTTCTTCATTCAGACCTTCATCTGTGTTAGTCAGAACTTGTTTCCTATCTAGCTTAACATTCAGTAGGAATTTGCCCAAACATGAAATCATTTTAAACTTCACAGTGGGTTATACGTGTGGAAGCAGTTTTATGGACCACATATCAAAGTGGGGAAAAGATTTAGAAAAACTGCACTCAGTGGTCTGTCGAGAACTAAGAAAGAAGCAGCAGCTGCCCCAGGTCCTGGAATCCTAAACCGCATTGCTGTGTTCCTGGAGCACCGTCCCCCATAGAACAAGCGGCCCAATAGCGACCAGCATGTTCTATGACTGCCTGGGTTTGGGTCCAGTCTTCAGGAAGACAAGCTGTGTGGCCTTAGGCCAGTTACTGAACTTCTTTGTGCTGCTGTTTTTTCATCCAAAAAATAGAGATAACAATAGAATGTACCTCATAGCATTGTCGGGTAGATCAAGTGAGATAATACAGGTAAAACACTTAGCACCTGTCAAGGCATTGCAAGCCCTCTAGAAGTCTTAGCTGTTACAGTTTGGATGAGAAAGTGAAACATGGTATATTGATCAAGGTTAAAGGACTGGGTCTGTTTGCTTTTAAATATAATCAACTTTTGTATCTCTGTGGCCTAAAATAATCTGTAGTTTGTTTTAAAACTAGACAAAATAGAATTAATTTTCTTTTCCTCTACTCTGGAAATGACAAGCCAAAATTATACCGGTACCAAAGAATGCTTATACAATTAGAAAACAGCATTGGTGGAGAAAGAGCCCAAGAAAGATAATTTAGATAATTTACTGTGAAAGGAAGTTTAAGAATGGGTTTTGTGTTTGTGCAAATCTTAGGTGCTCAATAAATGCCTACTGAGAAATAAAACTGAGTGATATTTTTATGGAAGATGAGAAGTAATACAATCTTAAGGGAAAGTTGCATGGGAAAAAAAGGGAAATCACTATAGAGGTGACACACTGGGCTCACAAAATATTGTAGGAGTTTTGGAGAGTTCCCATGAAGGCACTCACAGTGTTTCTCTTCCCTGGCAGCTCACTGGGGCGCCTTTAAAAATCCTATTTTTGGCCAGGGTGTGGTGGCTCACACCTGCAATCTCAGTAGTTTGGGAGACTGAGGTGGGCGGATCGCTTGAGTCCAGGAGTTCAAGACCAGCCTGGGCGACCAAAAAGTACAAAAACTAGCTGGGCTTGGTGGTGTGTATCTGTAGTCCCAGCTACTTGGGAGGATGAGGTGGGAAGATGGCCTGAGCCTGGGGAGACTGAGGCTGCAGCGCCACTGCATGCCAGCCTGGACAACGGAGCAAGACCCCGTCTCAAAAGAAGAATCCTATTGCTCAGGGAGGATTGATTAAATCGGATGGGCAGAAGAGGGCTGCAGCTCAGGCTCCAGAGTTTTTTATATGATTGCAATGCACAGCCAAGGTTGAGAGCCAAGGCTCTAGTCTAGACCACTGGTTCTCAACCTTGAATGCCAAAGGAATTGCCTGGGATTTTATTAAAACTCAGATTCCAGTTCAGTCGGTGTGTATAAGGGAAGCGGGGAGCAGAAGGGAGCAGGAGGCAAAGATAACTTTTTCCTAAATAACTCCCAGAAGAGGTCAGTTTTGCAGTTCTGCAGATCCCATTTGCAGCTGCAAGGCTCATATGCTTTGAAAATGGCTCTATATAAACAAATGTATGATGTCATTATAAAATGCTACTGTTGTTCTTTCAGAGGAAACTCATTTGTTCTACAAATGTTTAGTAGCCTATGTGCTTTTGGAGGGATACAAAGATGGATAAATAGATGGCTTCCCTCAAGTTATTTACAATTCAATTTATAATAGATGACATTTAAGTTAAGCAGAAAATAAAACTTCCTGATTGTAAGGCTTTCTGCTGGTGGTGAGATGGGATGGGTGTTCAAGGACACTAGGAGGGTGTTGATGGGTATTGGGGTTGAGGATATTAAGGGGAAGTTTTGCTTCAGGAAAGTAATGAAGGAAGAATATCTGTGTCACGCAACAGAAGATAAGTGGAAAATTCAAGAAAGAGGTAGAAGAAGTTCATAGCAAAAAGAGATTGAGCATCAGGGTTTGGTTTTGTTTTTTTGAGACAGGGTCTCACTCTGTTGCCCAGGCTGAGTGTAGTGGTGCAATCATAGCTCACTGCATACTTGACCTCCCAGGCTCAAGCAATCCTCCCATCTCAGCCTCCTGAGTAGCTGGGACTACAGGCATTCACCATCACACCCAGCTAATTTTTTTATTTTTTGTAGAGACAGGGTTTGGCTAATGCCGCCCAGGCTAGTCTTGAACTCCTGGATGCAAGCAATCCTCCCACCTCGGCCTCCCAAAATGCTGGGATTACAGGCATGAGCCACTGCACTGGACCATGAAAGTTTGAAAGAAGTCGTCTTATAGATGGTTATGAAGAGTTGGAAGTTTCTGAGGAAAGAGAGCCTTGTTGCTGAAGGTAAGAGGACATTGCTACTGGATTTGAGGTTGTACCTGGGAGCTCCTACTGGTCTATGATACTCACTGGGCTTCTCGGGTAAGCCAAGCACATAAGTTCAGCTAAATTTTCTCTAAGAGATTCATCCATATGCCATTTGCACCTGACTTCCAAACCAAATAGATTTATAGACATTGAGAGCAGCTTCGGTCAAGTGTTAGAACCTAGGGGTTTGTACCATGAATCTTTCTGAATAGTTTCTCCTCGTGTCTTCTCCATGCATTTAACATTATCAGTCAACAGCAGTCTGACATCAAGAGTGTTCAGATGCGTTCGTATGTGTCAGGCACCAAGTGGACAGACAAAAGTTAAACTGGAACCTCATCTTTATTGGTCACCTGGCTGATACCAACTTTGCTGACGCTGGCAAGCTCCACACCAGGCTTGCAAAATCTCCACCTGCTTATGAAAGCACTAATGGACCTGCTGAGTTTTCAAACTGTCGGGCAAACCTGCTCCTCCTTGTCTAAGTGCCAGCAGATTTACAAATGCCTCTGATAGTCATTCCCCAAGCTTGAGCACCTTAAATTTTTTTAACCCACCTCCTGCACACACACACACACACACACACACACACAATTTTTAAAGAATAGTGTGTTTTTTTCTTATTAAAAGTAATATCTGTACTAGGCAGAACATTCAGAAAATAGAAAAGTATAAAGGAAAACATAAAAATCACCATAATCTCTCTATCCAAAGATAACTATGAGCCCTGTTCATATTTTGGTAAATTTCTTCCAGGTCATGTTTATTGCAAATGTGGGATTATGCAGCAGAGACAATTTTGCTATTCTGCTTTGTCAGTTAACATTCTTGTTAAATAAGTTAAAAGGGGAAATCATTTTTCTTTTCCTAGTCTGCTCATATCCGTGAAGGCAAATAGCTCTTCCATAGTGTAAATACCCACTGGTGGGTCGTGGTCTTCATTATATACTGGAAACAGCATTTGGTAAGAGAATTATCCAGTGTTCCAGATGCCTTGTGCTGAGACTGCTGTTGGATTCAGTAAAGAATGGTTCTGTCTGAGGTAGGGATCAGTTAAGGTAGGTAGAATTTGCTGATTCTCACTATCACAATATTCTTGGGGATAAGGTGTTGTGCCAAACTCCTATTAATCTCAATAGGGAAGGTACCAGGTTCAAGAGGCCAAAGAAGAGACCAAGAGCCAGCAAATGAGACACAGGGTTTTATTAGGGAATTACATACAGGGGAGAGAGTCCAGCGGTGGCAGGATGGACAACATAACCACATAGCCCAGTGGCAGTGGGTTGGGCAGGAAAACTGCAGCCACCTGCAAACAGCATGCAGTTTCCATAGCATTTCCACTTAACACCCTCCCCGTGACAACCTCCACCTGGCAACCTTCATTTAACCCAAAACTCAGGGCCTTGATGTACAGCCTGTGTTCCATGGAACATGCAAGGGGCTCAGATGTTTATCATAGATAAGGAACGAACTTCCAGGTTAGCTACTTGGGTTCCCCAGCTTGGAACACACATTTAGATGCATCTGCCATCCAGGGGCATTCTCAGAGTATGCTTAAAGAATTGCTACCAGGTGTGTTTACCCTACGTAAGACTATCCCAGGTTTAGGATAGCAGCCTCTACGACTTAAGAAGGCCACCTTTGTGTTCATAAAATCATCTGCATATTGTCATAATATTTGCTTAACTAACTATATAATCCACCCTCAGGACATTTTCATATTAAATGCTCATTATTTCTTAAACTTGCCCTTTTCTTCTCACCTGTCAATAGACATTGATTCTCATGAGGCAATTCTTTCAACAAGCACTTATTGAACACCGACAGTGCTAGAGTTTTCAGAACGCTGATGATCAGGCCCTTCCCTGAGAGATGATTTTAGACTAAGGATGCATGGTTTGGGAAGCCTATGAGCAATGGTTCTCATATCTGCTATACATTAGCATCACCTGGAAAGCTTTTGCAAAGGCCAGGGCTCAGGATGCACCCAGACCAGGTGATTGACTGTTTCTGAGGATGGGACTTAGGCATGTAGCTTTCAAAGCTCCCCAAGTGATTTTAATGTGCAGCCAGGGTTGAGAACCAGTGCCAGAAAACAATGATTCTCATCAAATTGGCTGCATATGAGAATCAGCCAGGGAGATTTTTTTAATAAATAAAACTACCTGGGCCCCACCCCAGAACAAATGAGTCAGAATCTTTGGAAGAGGGATCTGGGCAACTGTATGTTTTCCAAAGCTCCTTCATATAATCTGATACATGGCAAGTACTGAGAATCATTGCTACAGGCAATCTAGTGAATGAGAACATCTAGAGTTGAACCCATTTCTGGCTCTTTGGCTTTGCAAGCCACGCATAACTGTAGGATGAAGAGTCACCTCTGAGCGGCCATGTTGGGTAATGAACAGCAGGGCTGAGAACCTGAAGGCATGGGTCAAGTCTTGGCTTTGCCATATAACATTTGCTCTGCAATGTCACACAAATCACGTAACTTCTCTGGGTTAGGAGTCCTGTCCACCTGCCTAAAAATCCAGTGCTCTTTCTACCATACCTCTGTTTTTAGACTTTTTTTCTACCTTAATTGATATTTTACTGTTTTGTTTTTGTTTTTGTTTAATGATCAGTACATAGACCTAATGATTCATTTCTATATAGTTCTTTTATTTTTTTTCCCAAACCTCCAGGTAGTATTTATCCCAGATTCCAAACTTTCCTGTGGCCTAAAAGCTATTTAGTCTATTGGAAACATTCAGCAAGCTCTTTACAAAAATGACTGCAGTGTCTTCAACGCGTTTGAGTTGCACTCATAGTTTGCCCCAGTCACGTGCGAGTTTAACGTACAACTCTACATCACGTAATGGGACATCTTTAACAACAAAACCTTCCCGTGCCCAAGGTCATGCACAGGAGAAGAAGGGAGTGAATTTCTACTTTATGCATATTTTAGGGAACAATACTGTGGCTATCACTTACCCTTTGAGCACTCTTGATTTTGGTCATTTATATTAGAACATGAGAAACAGTGACAGTGAATACAAATGAGTACTAACCGAATTCCTAGGCTGCTACCAGAAAATAAAATTTAAAGTCCCTTCCCATATTCACAACGGTGGCAATAACTGTATATATATATATGTCTATAAACTTACAATAAAGATAAACTCTAGCTTCTAAACAAATTACACAATCGATTTTGCCTTTATCCTTGAGTGTGACACAGAAAAATGAAAACCTGTAGACCTAGTTATCAAAAGACACTTATCCTCCTCAGCCCAGGTATGAACGTAAAGTTTGGCCTGAGCCAGTTTGATCTTCAAGTTTTCTCCAAGTTTGTCCATGAACTCAAAAGTATTCAAGTAGTCAGAACATTGCGCACTGGGTAAACCTTTAATGCAAGCAGCCAAGTCCTTGGTCATGAAACCAGCCTCAATTGTCTCAATACAGACTTCTTCCAAAGCATTTGCAAAAAAGGCAAGCTCTTTATTGTTATCAGTCTTTGCTCGGAGGGCCAACCCTCTGGTCCAGGCAAAAATGGAAGCAATGGGATTGGTGGATATCTCCTGGCCTTTCTGGTACATGCAGAAGTGACGGGTTACAGTCCAGTGGGCAGCCTCTGCTTCTACTGTCTTGCCATGTGGACACACTAGCATGCTGGTCATCATGCCAAGAGAGCCATACCCTTGGGCCACAGAGTCTGACTGCATGTCACCATCATAGTTTTTACAGGCCCAGATGAAGCCTCCTTCTGATTTCATAGCTTGGGCCACCATGTCATCAGCGAGCCTATGCTCATACCAGATCTTTTGGGCTTCAAACTGGGACTTGTACTGCTTGTCATATATCTCCTGAAAGATGTCTTTAAAACGTCCATCATATTTCTTCAGAATAGTGTTTTTGGTGCTCAGCTACAAAGGCCAATCCTTAGAGCCATTTGGAAGGAACTGTGTGCAAAATCTTCGATTGACTTATCTTGATTATACATCCCTATGGCAACACCACCACCCTCTTCCAAGTTATGTACCAGGTATGTCACCTTTTGGGTTCTGTCACTTAGTGTGTAGGTTATCTCTACTTTTCCAGGCCCAGGAACAACAAAATCAGCTGCTCTGTATTGATCCCCATAAGCAATGCGACCTACGATGATGGATTTTACCCATCCACTCACAAGCTGGGGGATATTTTTGCAGATAATGGCTTCTCTGAGGACCGTGCCAACCAGAATATTTTGGATGGTGCCATTTGGCGATTTCCACATTTGTTTCAACTTGAACTCCTCAACCCTTTTCTCATCAGCAGTGATAGTGGCACACTTGACACCAACGTTATACTTCTTTATAGCTTCTGCAGCATCCTTGGTGACCTGGTCGTTGGTGGCATCACAGTACTCTATGCCTAAATCATAGCTATGTACATCCAGTTCCACATAGGGAAAAATGAGTTTCTCTTTATTCAATTCCCAAATGATTTGTGTCATTTCATCTCCTTGCATCTCTACCACAGAACCGCCACTGATTTTTTTAGACATTTTGAGTTTAATAAACCTTGAAAGTGAATCAATTTTTTTTTTTTTCTGAGACGGAGTTTTGCTCTTGTTGCCCAGGCTGGAGTGCAATGGCATGATCTTGGCTCACTGCAACCTCCATCTCCAGGGGTTCAAGTGATTCTCCTGCCTCAGCCTCCCGAGTAGCTGGGATTACAGGCATGCGCCACCATGCCCGGCTAATTTTGTATTTTTAGTAGAGATGGAGTTTCACCATGTTGGTCAGGCTGCTCTCGAACTCCTGACCTCAGGAGATCTGCCCGCCTCAGCCTCCCAAAGTGCTGGGATTACAGGCGTGAGCCACCGTGCCCCGCCAACAGTGCATCAATTTCTTATCACCCCAATTCCTTCCAGTCTTTCAGACTTAACTGAACGTAGTTTATCTCCTGCCGGGATGATATGCTGATGGGGAGCTGGGGCGCTACAGCTGCTCACATGCTCAGACTCACACACACAGGCTGGCAATCCAAAACCGGACTCCCGCTGCCTTGGCTTCTGACACAGCCTCTGCAGAAACCCTGTATATAGTTCTTAACAGTGAGTACTGAAAATATAAAAAGCTATGCAACTATAATTCTTTTCCAAACAGTTATTCTATTGACTTTTTAGCTTACGATTTGGAGACAAATTATTTTTTTTAGAAACAGGTTTTCAAATGCCATCATCTTAAAACATTGAAAATTTGTTTGGTCTAAAATTTGACTAATTCACGATTTCATATAGATACTACATGCTCAAAACTGTCCAATCTTTCACAACACATTGATAAAATTATTAGGAAAAATTGGATTACCAGGAACAAAAGTGTCATGGAGGACACCCTCTTCCATCAGGGAACCCAGATCAAGGAGTAGTTTTATAAATAATTTTAGTAAAAGACAAGGGAATAAAGCTAAGCAGTATAAAATGTTTATAAGTTAAATGCATGATTACGACTTTAAATTGCCATTGGATTGTGCTTTTTTTTTTTTTTTTTTTTTTTTTTTTTGAGACAGGGTTTCCTTCTGTGGCCCAGGCTGGAATGCAGTGACCTGGTTCGATCTCAGCTCACCGCAACCTCTGTGTCCTGGGCTGGGGTGGTTCTCTTGAGTAGCTGGGACTACAGACGCGCACTACCACGCCCGGCTAATTTTTCTGTTTTTAGTAGAGACAGGGTTTTTCTGTGTTGCCCAGGCTGGTCTCAAACCCCTGGGCTCAAGTGATCCACCCGCCTTGGCCTCCCAAGGGGCTGGGATTAGAGACACACACCACCACACCCAGCCTGATTGTGCTTCTTGTAATGGGATGTTGGAAACTGCTAGCACAGTTTCCACCACCTCCCCTCCCCCACCCTCAGACTACAGTCAATGTCTCCCTTAATTCGATTTCCACTTATTCTATGAATAGCTAAATTGAAAAATGTATGATGTATATGGAAAAATATACAACCAGGGTGGGGAAAGGGCACTAAATAAAAGGAAAAGAAACCTAACCCCAGGCCATGAGCTTACTTCTTTAAAAAAGTATTTACCCTTATCAAAAACAATTTTTTTTTTTAAGGGAAGGGGTAGGTTTCCTGCTTCTTACAAGTGTGTTTCTAGAACTATTAAAAACTTGCCTTTACAAAATAGTTGGTAAAATGGCTCTTCTGGCTTCTGCAAGAAGGCAATGCTGAGATAATCGAGGGTACTCGGTTGAGGATACTCACCAGATTTGGCTGCTTTCTCTCCTGCTTCCCCAGAGTCTGGCCTCTTCTGGTTTTAGCATCTTCATTTTCTGCAGGTGAGTCTGATTTCATAGTTTTGCTCCTCCTTTCCCTTTTGTTTACACTTTCTTACTTTTATTGTTTGTATATTTTAAAATCAGTTTCAGCATCTGCAGGAACAGGTTTGGATACCATCTTGCCAGTCTCTCCATGACTGTCTCTTGAGCTGAACTGCTCCTTTTCCCCGGCTTCCTGGCAGTGTTCCGGGCCGGCACTGCGAGGGCCTTTGCAGAGCTGTCCTGGCTGCAATTCTTACCACCCCTAAGCTGCTGGGACCCTTAAAACTTCTTAAAATCATCAAAACTCCTTTTTTACTTGCGAAATCTTGCACAGAATCCTGATATTTCATAGGGATAGAGATGTAATTGTCCTTGCTGAAGTGGGAGTAAGTACACTTTTGTGGAATGCTCATACCTCTGATCTGGAAATTCCACCAGTCATCATGTGATGCTGACAGATTTTTACCTTTGAATATGAAAAATGATTAAGAATACTTTGGGGGATTTTCTTTTCATAAAGAGAAATTACCAGTCACTTCTCCCAATTCTTTTTATTTTTTATTTGTATTAATCTAATTTTACAGAGATGGAGTCTCACCATGTTGCCCAGGCTGGCCTCAAACTCCTGAGCTCAAGGAATCCTCCCACCTTGACCTCCCAAAGTGCTGGGATTATAGAAATGAGCCACCATGCCTGGGCTCCCAATTCTCGAAGTTGGAGAAAATGGAAAAAAGGTGATATTGATGGTGAGGAGTTTGGGAACAAATAGCCCTCATGGTCCTGTCTGCTCATGTCAATGAGGGAGGGGATCCCTGGTGGAATACCTCACGGGAGAGGCAGGCGTCAAAATCTGACTGGGTAAGAATACACGACCCCGGCAGGCCCACGTTGTATTGGCCTCCTTTATCCATAAAGGGTGAGGTGGAAAGTGAGAGGAAGGAGCATTTCCTCCTGAGAGAATAGAGTTGTGACACAGCCATATTTGACCTGGTCATCTCTGATGGTCTATCAGGTGCTGCGTAAGACCAACAGAAACTACTCACTGAGCCATCCCTATTAGGTGACCCATGACCTTAATTAATGACCACTAATCTGTGTTCATTGTTTACCAGCAGGTTAATAAGCCCTTTAGTAATACCAGAGAAGAAAACAATTAGGAAAGTACAGGCTAAATGACTGTATGACCTGCAGAGAGCCTAGACTTTTATCTGGCCCATCAGTTTGGGCTCCATAGTAAGTGTAGCACAATATTTCCTTTAATAATTATGTAGGACTAACGTCTCATCTCCCTGGGAAGCTCCAAACACTTGACTTATGAATAGGCTCTCTTTCTCTTCATTGCTAGAATTCCATCCATCACCACCCTCATTAAAGAAAATATATATAAGTTTTGAAGTTGCTTGTGTTTTTATAGAGATTCAATTGCCAATGAAATAATCTTGAAATTTCTAGATAGCACTGGGCATGGTGGCTCATGTCTATAATCCATGCACTTTGGGAGGCCGAGGTGGAAAGATTGCTCGAGCCCAGGAGTTAGAGACCAGCCTGGGCAATATGGCAAAACCTATCTCTACAAAAAATACAAAAATTAGCCAGATGTGGTGGCAGGCACCTGTAGTCCCAGCTCCTTGGGAGGCTGAGATAGGAGGGATCACCTTAGCCCAGAGAGGTTGAGGCTGCAGTGAGCTCTGATAGTGCCACTGCACTCCATTGGGCGACAGAGTGAGACCCTATCTCAAAACAAAACAAAACAAATGTCTATGTAGGCATTTTGAGTAAACTTTTTACTAAAGTGTAATATTCATATAGAAATACATACAAATCATAAGTACAGAGTGGGATGAATTTCCTCACTCATCAACACACCATGTCCCCAGGTCAAGAAACAAAACATTACTGTCATCCCAGAAGTCCCCTCTTTGGACCCTTTTGGTCACTCCCTACCCAAGGTAACTATTACCCTAATTCTTTTTTTTTTTTTTTTTTTTTGAGACAGAGTCTCACTCTGTCACCAGATTGGAGTGCAATGGTTCAATCTTGGGTCACTGCAACCTCTGCCTCCCAGGTTCAAGTGATTCTTGTGCTTCAGTCTCTTGAGTAGCTGGAATTACAGGTGCATACCACCACACCTGGCTAATTTTTGTATTTTTTGTAGAGACAGGGTTTCACCATGTTGGGCAGGCTGGTCTCAAACTCCTGGCCTCAAGTAATCCGCCTGCCTCAGCCTCCCAAAGTGCTAGTATTACAGGCGTGAGCCATTGTGCCTGGCCACCACTACCCTAATTCTAACGCCATGTATTCATATCATCTGTTTTTGAATGTTTCCTTTTCAAGTTAACCAGTTTAAGTTTGTTCCTGTGGACAGAAAGCTGTCTTGTCAGTATTTTTATCTCATCAGTTATAATGATAAAGAATGCTATTTTTTTTCATCTTTTTCCTTAGTGCCCTAGAGTGATTGGATGAGCTTGATATAAAGCTGTAGAGCTCAAAAGCTAAAACATCTTTCCCACAGATGCCATCAGTCTTTTCGTTTAATCGTTTGACCTAGAGGGGCTGTGAACATCTCTGTTCTGGTGTATTTTACAGAGAACATCTCTGTAGCTGGTGTATTTTAGTGCTTATTTGTGGATCCGATTCAAGTCATATATATTTGCATATTTTACTTTTATGCACGTGTGAAATGTGCACATACACACACACAGAGCTTCCTGTTTTTCCTGCATTGATTTCTCCTTTCCTATTTCTATCCTCAGTAGACATCCTTCTCTACCCCACGCTATCCTTGCCTTGGGCTCCTCGTACAGACCTTCCTCAACAAATCCCACTCTCCAGACTCAGCCACCCCTGTACACACTGCCTTAAAATGATTGACTATTTATCATTCAAAAGGTGCACACAACCATGGAGAATCCGCTTTCACTTCTACTTTTGATGTAAAGACCATAAGAAATCCAGGTTTGGAAGGGGAAACAGTGCAGTTAAAGCAACTGGTAGAATGTGTGGCTTTTCACCATCTGCCTGAAGTTCCATTCTGAGTTTTTCCTGAATGAGGATGGGATGTCTGTGTTCATACATTTTTTTCTTTTTAAAATATGTCTCAGGCTGGAGTGCACTGGCTATTCACAAATGCAATCATAGTGCACTATAGCCTCAAACTCCTGGGCTCAGGCAGTCCTCCCACTTCAGCCTCCCGACTAGCTGGGCCTACAGGCAGACACCACTGCTTGTGGTTTTGTGTTGAGACATTTGTTTGCTGAAGTGACAGGCACCCCGTTCATGAGCTCATTCATTCACTCATTCACTCATTCATTCATTCAACAGATCTTTCCTGAGTCCTATTATGTGCCTGACATTGTTTGAGAAGCTGAACTTCTCAAGGGAGAGATCTGTTCTTCAGACCAGAGGGAAATTTGGAAGCCCAAATAGAGAACAGTATTTCTAGATCTGACCTTTAGACTATAAGAGGCACCTAATTCCTTAAAATAGAATATTGTTGCTTTTCATTATGCCATGCACATGATAAGGGCTCTGTATATATTTTGGGATGAGGGCAATAGTATTGTCCATGTTTCTCTAAAATAAACTGGTAAAACTCTGAATTGTTTAGATTGAAATGAATAAGATCATTATTACTTTTTAAATTAAGTCTAATCTCTTAGTTAAGTCACCACAACGTATTTGCAGTTGTTTGTGTATGGGCCTGTTTCTTTCTTGGAATAATACTCACTCCTTTCTAGGCTGCCACCTTTCCTGTTAGTTCTACAATGATGGTGAGCATCATATTCTACCTTTTTGTGTATTGCCTTTCATTTTAAAGGCTTATGGCAGAAGGATCTGAGGCATCCTTAAGGAAGAATTAGGTAGATGTATGAACAAAATACTACATATCCTTTTTGTGTTATGCAATAAATCATATAGTTCTTGCTTCAGATGATTTCTTCCAGACTCACTCAGCAACACTCTTTACCCAGACTATATAGCCTTGACTTTCAATAAAAAACAAAGATGAGGCCAGGTGTGGTGGCTCACGTCTGTAATCCCAGCACTTTGAGAGGCCGAAGTGGGAGAATCACCTGAGGACAGGAGTTCGAGCCCTGCCTGGCCAACGTGGTGAAACCCTGTCTCTACTAAAAATACAAAAATTAGCTGGGTGTGGTGGCACATGCCTGTAATCCTAGCTACTTGGGTGGTTGAGGCACAAGAATCACTTGGACCCAGGAGGCAGAGGTTGCAGTGAGCCAAGACCACTCAGGGGTGGTGCCTGGGTGACAAAGTGAGACCCTGCCTCAAAAAAAAAAAAAAAAAAAAAAAACGAAAACCAAAGATGAGTTACCAAAAAAGTTTTAACAAAGGGCACAGGGGAGAAACTCCTCCTCTTCCCATGGCCAGCATTCTGTTACCAGTTGATAGTTTGCACACAGCCAGCTTTGACTGAACTCACCCCTGTTAGTTCAAATTTCTCTGAGATCTGAACTGGAAAGAGGAAAGAGACATTAAAAATGAGCTCACTGAGTTGTTTTTAAATTTGTCACACTGAACCCACGACTGTTAATCCCATTCACGGCTGTAGTAATTATATTGCATAATCAGTGAGGGGAGATCCTCCCCCTTTTGTACTCTTATTGAATAGAGAAGACAGAAAAATGTCAGAGCTCTGCCCTAAACTAAGATTCCTTCCCACAAAAGAATTCTGGACTCAGAAGGGAAGCATGATCCTTTACAAGGTGAGCTCACCTTGTCCACTCTCAGCTCAGGGGTAGCGAACTCATAAACCAGTGATTCCTAGTCTATAGGACATGGATGCCTGATGAGGCATTTAAAATTGTGGGGCTGCAAGCATTATCTATAGACTGCATGCATAATATTTTACACCTACTCATACTATTCAAAAACATGGGGATGTGTAATTGCAATTAATAAAACACAAATTTGCTCAAAGGCATCACTAAATTCATGACTGTTTTAAAAATAATGCTAATACATAATATTTATTCCATTGGTTATTGTCAGAAGATTTCTTTGCTTAGAAGCAAATTAGGAGTTTCTAATAACAAGATGGCCCTTGTAATTTAAAAGTTTGGGGGTCACTGTTTGAGACTGTTGGTGATCTATGTTTAACTCACGGATGACCTCCTCCTAGCTCTATGAAATGTTGAGGTGTTGACATCCCAAACCTGTTTTAACTGGAACATACATATGAATCCCACTCTGCACAAGGCATGATATTCTTGATTTCATCCTTTCCTAACTCCCTTTGTCTCATGGCATTTACAAATCTTTTTTTTTTGAGACGGAGTCTCGCTCTGTCACCAGGCTGGAGTGCAATGGCATGACCTCGGCTCACTGCAACCTCCGCCTCCCGTGTTCCAGCGATTCTCCTCCCTCAGCCTCCCAAGTAGCTGGGACTACAGGTGCACACCACCACGCCCAGCTAATTTTTTTGTATTTTTAGTAGAGATGGGGTTTCACCATGTTGGCCAGGATAGTCTTGATCTCTTGACCTTGTGATCCGCCTGCCTTGGCCTCCCAAAGTGCTGGGATTACAGGCATGAGCCACCGCGCCCGGCCCAGCATTTACAAATCTAATTGAAGAAATACGAAATAAGTGCACACAGAAGTTACATAATGAGTTAAGAAAATGCAAGGAGAAAACATATAGTACATGATCAATTGCGAAATGCTGTGAACTCAAAGAGACAGCAGGAGGGAAAGGTAGAGAGAGAGGGAGAGGAAGGTGAGTGGTATGGTGAGAGGAAGTGTGTTCCCAGGGCGGACATCAGAGCAGGTTTTTACAGACTCGCATTCCTGGCTCTGCTGATTGCCACCCAAGTGACCATGGATAGATAACCTGACCCCGCTAAGCCTCTGTTTTATCGTCAATAAAATCAAGATTATAATTATAATACCTCTCATATTGTGTTATTGTGAAGATAATTTATGACAAAATATATTAAATGCTTTGTACTATAGCTAATGTATAATATGTGCAAACTAAATGGTAGCTAGTGTTTATTCTATTAGACTAAATCCCTCCAGGATGGGAAGTATGACTTACTTATTTTTGCTTCCACAGAATCTAGCACAATGCTTGACTCATAAGTACTCAGTAAAAGGAAAACATTTGTTGAATGAAGGGAAGGATAAATGGATAGATGGCGGGATGAATTTTTTTTAAATGAACTATGGGCTTTGGTGACATGGAAGGGTGTCATGGAGAGCAAGAGGTGAATCTAACCGTGCATGGAGAAGAGAGGAGGGCACTGCAGTGGGAGAGGGCAGGAACCAAAGCACAGAGGCAGGAAGGCACCTGGGATTGAGTATTGGGATTCGGCTGTGGAGGGAGTGGCCTGCCAGGCTGTGGAGTGTGTATCTTACCTGTGGATAGTGGGAGCCAAAGAAGATTCATGAGGAGGAGAATGGCATGAGAAGGGAACTTTTCAGAGGGTTAGCCTGGTGCTGGTGTGGAAAGGAAGGGGGCAATCCATACTAAGCGAGAAGTGGTCAAGTTCCTGACCAGAGTGACAACTATGGAAATAGAGACAAAGGACTGACTGAGGAGAGGTCAGAGGTCTCACATCTCAATTCATTTGGAATTGGTAAGGTGGTCACTTAAACCATCTACCAACACGCCTGCTGACTCTTGAAAGGCCACATTTTTGGCTGGGCACAGTGGCTCATGCTTGTAATCCCAGCACTTTGGAAGGTCAAGGTGGGCGGATCACCTGAGGTCAGGAGTTTGAGACCAGCCTGGCCAACATGGTGAAAGCTTGTCTGTACTAAAAATACAAAAATTAGCTGGGCTTAGTGGCACACTCCTGTAATCCCAGGAGGATGTACTCGGGAGGCTGAGGCAGGAGAATCGCTTGAACCTGGGAGTCGGAGGTTGCCGCGAGCCAAGATCATGTCATTGCACTCTGGCCTGGGCAGCAAGAGCAAAACTCCGTTTCAAAAAAAAAAAAAGAAAAAAAGAAAGACCACACTTTTGAAAATCACTGTGGGTGAGTACTGAGTTAGAGAAGAGACATTGGAGGAATGGGTTGACGAGAAGTGTGGAGCCTGCTGCATGAACTGAGTCAAGGAAAGGTGATTTGAGGGGTAGGCTTTTTTTTGTTTTTTTTTTTTGTTTTTTTTTTTAGAGACTTGGGAAGATCAACAGCGGTGAGTATTAGAATGGGCAATGGAGAGGGAATAATCTATAAACGTGGAACTGAACTCGGGGCTAAACTGCCAATGACGGAGACTCACTTGCCTGAACAAAAGTGAACTGGAAGTCCAGCAACAGGCTCTGCCTGTGGTGGGGCCGAGGGCACAGGTGAAGCCTGGTGGTTGGAGCCACACTGGGCCACTCCCCTTCCCTGAGGAGGAAGCAGAGCTGTGGTCACCTCCCTTCCCCCTCCAGCCTCCATGGAGATCTCCCCTCCCTCCTCCACGTCCCGCGGATACTTCCCTTCCCCTCCACGGTGCACGGAGACCTCCTCTGCCCCCTTCAATTTCACTTGACTAGGAAGACACAGAGGAGCTAGCGCAGGTGGCCTGCTTCTTTTATGTTTTTGGAAAAGCGGTCTGTCTTTCAGGAGGAAGTTATTTTTTCTTAGATAAAGGGACTATCTCTGGGGGAAAAATGATTCCAAAAAAAAGAAATAAAAAACAAAGAAAAATAAGGACTCTCCTTTCTCCTACCCTTGGGGGGAATTCACTCATTCATTACCACATTTAATTAAATTGAAAAAATAGCCACTTTCTTCTTCCAATAACTACTATTGTCGGTGACTACTTGATGTTGTCTTCTGTTAACCACATGACATCCTCTGTGAGTTTGTGGAGCACCAGGGAAGAGGTAAGAACACCCAACTCAGTATTGCTTTTCCGTAACACAGGAAGATGCTGTTAGGGCTAGGTATTCTCTGGGGTTCTTAAAAATTAGATCAATCCAAGAAGACTGAGAAAAATCACATGTATTTCCCCAAAGAACTTTACAAAGGGTAAGACGCTCTAGCCCGGAACTAGAACTTTAGCATAAATCTGGTCTGAAACCTTGGTTAAGGATGTAACAGTTTATATTGGGGAATCTGTATGTGGATCTGAAAAGCAGGCAGCTTTCTAGGTTTCTTATTCACAACTGGTGCAGATATAAAGTGGTGCCACCATCTGAGACGACACTTTGGCCTTTTTGTGTGTGAAAATTGACATACTCTATGTGAAAATTCATATATTCTATGGTCTAACCTTCCATCCTTGGGTATATACCAACAAGAAAACCCAGGAGACATATCTAAAGATGTTCAGAGTAGACCTTTTTGTAATAGCAAAAATGTATAAATCAACCAGTTGTCCATCAACAGCAGAAAAGATAAATACAATGTAATACGTTCATACAATGGAAAGTTATTAAATCATTAAATGGCAGATGGTCTTATAGTGACACGCAACAAAGTGGATAAATCTGAATAATATAATAGTGAGAAAGTTAAAGCCGGGTGCAGTGGCTCACGCCTGTAATCCACTTTGGGAGGCTGAGGCAGGCAGATCACTTGAGGTCAGGAGTTTGAGACCAGCCTGGCCAAACTAATTAAACCTAACTCTACTAAAAATACAGAAATTAGCTGAATGTGGTGGCGGGCATCTAATCCCAGCTACTCAGGAGGTTGAGGCACGAGAATCACTTGAACCCACGAGGTGGAGGTTGCAGTGAGCTGAGATCACACCATTACACTCCAGCCTGGGTGACAGAACAAGACCCCATCTCAAAAACAAACAAACAAAATAAAAAAACAAAAATAAAAAAGCAAGTTAAGTCCAAGAATTACACACGACATTAAGCTCCCTTCACAATGTTAAAAACAACTAAAATGAAACAACAAAGTTTTCCAGAATAGGTATATTTATGATAAAACTATAAAACACACATATACTTAATAGGAAGTGAATAGTAAACCAAAAACTCAATATCCAGGAGAGTTCGCTCAGGTGAGCAGATGGATATAAATTACACTCGTTTTGGGTGGTGAGCTGGTGGATGTTCTTTATCTTATTTTACAAATAGGGTGATGGGGAATGCAGGGACCAGAGATGAGTGTGTCATGAGCTATGACGTATGATTAATCCAGTTCTGCACATCTGAGTGGGGTAGGGGTTGTGGGAAACCATCGCAGGTCTTGTGGGACACAGACAGACCTGATGACTTTTCAGATAGAATTGCAGACTGAGTAGGCGGAGGAATGGAGTAGATATATTATTAGAGTTTGTCATCCAGGGCCTGGCAGGATAATCAGTGTCATGAAGGGCAGCACTCCTGCCTGGAGGAGTTTTCAGCTTATTCCAGACAAAACAACAATGGAGACATTGAGTCTGAGTTAAACATTACGGCCATGGAGTCTACTGTTTTTATTTTTCTAAAGATAAAGATATTGTAACTCAAATGTCTTTATTTTATTTTTTCTGTCAAGAAAGTTATTGCAGAGACAAAAATTTGGAAAATAAAGGATAAAAAAGAAAATATTATTCCAATACCCAGAGATCATCACTGTCAACCTTTTGGTGTGTTTGCCTCCTGTGGACTGTGATAGATAAGAACCACTAACTACCCACCCGTTGTATATTTTCTGACCGAGGCGACCTAGCAAAACTGTTTAGAGCTTAATTCTTTGGAGTGAGAAGAACTGAATTTGAATCCCAGCTTTGCACTTACCAGCTCATGGCAAGCCAATAGCCTTCCGTAAACCCCAGCTCGGTGATGGCACTAGTGGGATTTGTTTTGAGGATTAACCAAGAGGAAACGTGGTGCAATTAGCATTTACAGTGTCTGGCACACAGTCAACCTTCAATGAGAGTTGTGAGTTATTATTAAGATGATGTGCCTGGTTTGGGGCAGTGAGGTTCATTTAGTTAAAAGATGGGGAACTCCAAAAAACACCCAAACAGTGGAAGGGATCCTAGGGTTGTGAAGGTGGAAAGGGCTATGTTATGTTTGATTTGAAGACAACCTGATGGGTGACTTCCAATATGTGAAAATGAAGGCTGTCTCAGAGGATTTGAGAGCCCAGAAAATAAGCTTAATCCTGCTCTTTCAGCATAATAGAAAGTTTATTTATCCTCCTCCAGTGAGAAAAAAAAAATACCTTCAACATGAGAAGAGGAAAGGGCAGGGGAGGAAATGACAGGGACAAGCAGTATCATCTTTTGAGCCTTTGTCTTGGCCACAGCAACTCTCTGAGAATAATAATATACTCTATTTCTCCTGCACTGGGGACCGAACAAGGGGGTATCTAGGTTGAATGCCTCCAAATTTATGTTCTAAAAGTGATGGAACATCCTCACCACTGAAGGTTTTATAAAATGTACAACGGACCAGAGTGGCCTTGGGCTTCTCAACAGCAATTCTGCAAACAACAGATAATGGAGCAATGCTTCCAATAGTCTGAGGGGCCATTATTTCCAAACTTAAATTTGATATCTGGCCAGATGATCAATGAAGTTTGTAGTGGAATAAAGACACTTTCAAACACACAGGTTCTCAAAAACTTTACCTCCCATGTCAGTGGAAGATGTGTGCCACCCCACTGAAGGAGTAAACCAAGAAAGCAAAAGACACTGGACCCAGAAAAGAGAGGATCCAACCAACACGCAGCAGGCAGAGGGGATGACGGTGAAGGAGACCCCACCTCAGCAGCTGAGAAGCAGGTCAGGTCTGGAGAGCAACCAGTTCAGATTGGAGCCAGCCAGAAGATGCCAGGAAAGAATGCTTTGAGCAATGAAATTAATAGAATAACTGATATGAATGTATTGAGAAAATCTTTACTCAACTAGGGGAGAGTGTGGGGATAAATTAATAATAGTAACAGACTACTAAGCCAAAGGGGAAAAAAAAGACAGTTCTTAACACTGGGTGATGGGGAAATTGTAATGAAAATGAAAGTTAAGGCTGGGCGCGGTGGCTCATGCCTGTAATCCCAGCACTTTGGGAGGCCGAGGTGGGTGGATCACCCGAGGTTGGTGGATCACCCGAGGTTAGGAGTTCAAGACCAGCCTGGCCAACATGGTAAAACCCATCTCTACTGAAAATACAAAAAAAAAAAAATTAGCCCGGTGTGGTGGCACGTGCCTGTATTCCCAGATACTCCAGAGGCTGAGGCAGGAGAATCGCTTGAACTCGGGAGATGGAGGCTGCAGTGAGCCGAGATTGTGCCATTGCACTCCAGCCTGGGCAACAAGAGTGAGACTCTGTCCCAAAAAAAAAAAGAAAAAAAAGGAAAAGTTTATAGTAATTTTACTACTTAAAAACAACATAGCAGTGTTATTTACAGTATCCAAAAAGTGGAAGCAATCCAAATGTCCATCAATTGATGACTGGTAAAAAAAAATGTGGTGTATTCATACAGTGAAATGTTATTTAGCCTTAAAAAGGAGAGAAATTCTGACACATGATATAACAAGGATCAACCTTGAGGACGTTATGCTAAGTGAAATGAGCCAGACACAAAAGCACAAATACTGTGTGATTCCGTGTTCATATGAGGTCCCTGGGGTAGTCAAATATATTATAGAGACAGAAAGTAGAATGGCAGTTACCAGGGGTGGTTGAAGTTGGGGAATGGGGAGTTTGTGGTTTTTGTTTTTGTTTTTTTGTTTTTGAGACAGGGTCTCACTCTCTCGCCCAGGCTGGAGTACAGTCGCAGCTCACTGCAACCTCCGCCTCCTGAGCTCAAGTGATCCGCCCGCCTCAGCCTCCCAAGTAGCTGGGACTACAGGTGCACACCTGTATTTCTGTAGAGACGGGGGCTTGCCCTGTCATCCAGGCTGGTCTCAAACTCCTGAGCTCAAGTGGTCCGCCTGCCTCAGCCTCCCAAAGTGCTGAGATTACAGGTGTGTGCCATCGGGCCTAGCTGTGAGTTAGTGTTTAATGGGGACAGTTTCTATTTGAGATGATGAAAAAGTTCTAGAAATGGATCGTGGTGATGATTGCACAACAATGTGAATGTACTTAAGATCACAGAACTGTACACTTAAAATGATTAAAAAGATAAATTGTGTTATTTATATTTTACTGCAATAAAATATCTGTGCAGAAAACCCCAAAACACCCGGTAAGGTGCTGTACAAATGAATTGAATTACAATTCAATTATTTTTCTCATAGTGATATCAGATTTTAAAGACTCAGATATTGGTGAGATCCCAATACCTCACTTTGGTAAGGAAAAGGAAATTACCTTTTCCCAACAAAATCACATATCTTTATTTTTAAAATCTATGATTCGAAAGGCATACCCTAACAAATAATCCTGTATATCCATCTTCCAGTGATAACCCCTATGCCTCAAGATCCTTTATCTGTCTCTTCTAACATATAATTTTCAGTGTAAAAAAAGTCTGACCATACTACATATATGGTTTAAAAATTGCTTTCTAAACAACTTTACAATATATTTTGCCTTCTTTCCACATCTATGTTTATATGAACACACTCATTTTTTAACTTATTTTTGGGAACTCTGGGATCAAGGTATATTTTATATTAATGTAAGTCCCTCTTCTAAAGACAAGCCCCTCTGTAGTTAGAGGTTTTCAAAAGCCTCCTTTGTATGTTTTCTATTGTCTCAGAGACACATGAAATAAAAATATTGATTTTTGTTTTAAGAACACAGAAATTCCAATTTTAGATCATGAGATTATTTTTTCCTTATTCAGTAAAGCAAAATAAAAACCTGTTTAGAGATGATGGTGATGTTTCTTCTGTGTGCCTTGGTGGGAAAGGACTCCGAGTTGCTTTGTTCATTTCCACCTGAAGCCAAACTGCTAAGCAGTTAAAACTCAAGGAGCCGTCGGACAGGTTTAACGAGAGTGAAGTGTGCCGCTCCACACCCACCTTTGCAAGACAGAACTGCTTCACGGGTTTGATGAAACTGCTGTGGAACTGTGCTATAACTTCTTCCTATATTGGAAATGTTTCTGTCTCAAGCCAGCATGGTTTAAATGTTTCAGATTAAAATTCTGCAAATTAGTAAAAAATGCACACATTGAATCAGGTTAAATCTGCTGTCACGTATATTAACTTATTATTGGAGAAGAAACAATCCCTGGGGCTGTTCTCCTGATTTGCACGACTTTTTCTTGAATCCAGCTCTTGCTGAAGGGATGCTTTCTCATTTGGAAGTTAATTTATTAAATTGTGAGGAGCTGGTTAAAGAAAGTAGAAGTATGCCGGTTTTCTTAGAGTTTCCTAAGTATGAATGGCTGGTGAATTTCTCAAAGTTTAAGGAGGAAACTCTCCTGTTTCTGACGTTTGCAACCCACCCTTCATTGAGGTCTAAGGAAGGATTGCTGGGAAGATTCTACAAGGAATTGTCTGCACCCCGCAGGGCTGGATTGTTTTCCTAAACACCATTTGGTGGTGGTTGTAACTCCTGCCACTCAGTGATTGCCACTGCCTCACCCCTTCCTGTTTCCCATCCATAGCGAATGCTATTTGCCATTGATGTGAAAAGTTCTAGAACAGGAGTGGATCACTCGCATGGAAAGCTCCAGAACCGGCTGGGTGTGGTGGCTCATGCCTGTAGTTCCAGCACTTCGGTGGTATCGCTTGAGCTCAGGAGTTTGAGACCAGTCTGGACAACACGGCAAAACCCTGTCTCAAAAAAAAAAAAAAAGCTCCAGGATCTGTACCTTGTCACTTTCAGAGCCTTTTTAAAAAATCAAATGCCACCAGGAAATATTATGCACCTTTAAAAGCAATGCTAACAAGACATTTACACGAGGTTGGAAAATGCTCATGATATTATGATCAACTAAGAAGCTGAGGCCGGGCGTGGTGGCTCACACCTGTAATCCCAGCACTTTGGGAGGCTGAGGCAGGTGGATCACCTGAGGTCAGGAGTTTGAGACCAGCCTGGCCAACATAGTGAAACCCTGTCTCTACTAAAAATACAAAAATTAGCCGGGCGTGGTGGCAGGAGCCTGTAGTCCCAGCCACTAGGGAGGCTGAGGCAGAAGAATTGCTTGAACCTGGGAGGCAGAAGTTGCAGTGAGCCAAGATCATACCACTGTACTCCAGCCAGGGTGACAGAGCGAGACTCTGTCTCCAAAAAAAAAAAAAAAAAAAAAAAGAGCTGAATACAAACTTGTATATAACCTGACATTGGTTGGTTAAAAAGTTCATTAGGGGAAAAAACTGGAAGGAACCTTCCAAAAATATTTAGAATGATCACCTTGTCTGGTTGATAATTTGCTTTGCTTTTCTTTGCTTCTCTCCATTCCCTTCTGCCTTTTCTGAGTATTTTACAGCAAATACATAGACTTTTATAAGCAGGAGGAAAAAACATCCTAACTTCAGGTACATCCTTCTAAGCAAGCCTATTAATTGATTTGCTGTGTGAGCTCTCAGCTCCAATCTGGGCTTTGCCCTTTACAGACTTGGGCCTTGGCAAGTAATGCAGGTTCTTTCTCATGGCCTCACTTCTCTTAGCCAGTGTAGGATAAGATGAGGAGTTTGAATAGGGTTTCTTCCCTGTGATCTGTGATCTTACCAAGCTTCTGACAAAAAAAAAAAAAAAAAAGCAAAAACAAACAAACAAAAAAACAAAACAACCATAAAAACAAAAACAAACCAAAAAACCCCAAACTTTTTGGGACCCTAGATGAGGGGAGTCAGTTGAAACTTGAAACTAAAGATGACCTTCCCCCAGCTCCTGCTCTATTTAAATGATCACTTTCTTTTTTCTTTTCTTTGAGACAGGGTCTTGCTCTGATGCCCAGGATGGAGTGCAGTGGTGATCTCAGCTCACTGCAGCCGCTGCCTCCCAGGCTCAGGTGATCCTCCTGAGTAGCTGGGCCCACAGGTGCGCGCCACCATGCTAGCTAATTTTTGTATTTTTTGTAGAGATGAAGTCTCGCTATGTTGTCTAGGTTGCTGTCAAACTCCTGTCCTCAAGTGATCTGCCTGCCTTGGCCTCCCAGTGTTGGGATTATAGGCGTGAGCCACTGTACCTGGCCTAGATGTTCATTTTCTGTGTGTTGCTATTATAACCAGTGGGTTGTTTGATATTTTGTCTCCTGCTTTAAATGTTAAGATCAGTGAAGACAGAAATCTGGACGTTTTTCTTATTCTTTAGTCTCCCGTATACCTACACCTCTATCTGTAGCAGGGAAACAATGTATGTGCAATAACTAGCTCATGATGATAAGAAACAAATGGTTTATGAAATTTGTTGTTGCTGATGCCTAAGATTTTGAAAGGTGGTCACTTTGGAAACCAGGTTACATTTCGTTGGCATTACAATCATCCAAAGTCAGATCATTTATGTCTTAGTGTCCATTTTGATTTCATGATGTTTAGTATATGAATCTCTAATTTCATTTTTTCTTAACAATGGAAGCTACATTCAAACAAAACAAAACAAAACAAAACATGCAAATACATGCACTGTAATTTGAGGACACCAAGAAAATCACCACAGCTTTGGGAATACAACTAAAAAAAATAAGAGTAGCTGGATGTGGGAAGATCACTTGAGCCCAGGAGTTTGAAGCCAGCCTGGGCAACATAGTGAGATCTCTAAAAATAGATAATAAATAAATAAATTCATTAATTCAATAATAACTGTAATGCATTTTGGTGTGACTTCTGCAAAGCAGGCTTATTACTCTAGTGGAGGAAAATAACAATTGAGGTTGGGTGTAGTGGCTCATGCTTGTAAACTCAGCACTTTGGAAGGCTGAGGCAGGAGGATCACTTGAGGCCAGGAGTTCAAGACCCGCTTGGGCAACATAGTGAGACCTCACCTCTACCAATAATAAAAAAATTAGCTGGATGTGGTGGCACATGTCTGTGGTCCCACCTACTCAGGAGGCTAGGTGGGGGAATCGCTTGAGCCTAGACAGTTAGGGTGTAGTGAATCCGGATTGCCCCATTGAACTCCAGCCTGGGCAACAGAGCAAGACCCTGTCTCCGGAAAAAAAGTAAGAAAATAACAATTGATGGGATAATTTCTTGGTTTCAAGTTGATACCAAATCATTGCTCAGAAATGTGTTCTTTCATGACTGATGGGACAGGAATTTTGACATAATGGAAAGGGCATGAGACTAGAAACAGATGGAATTCTGCTATTTTAGGTATCAAGTAACTCACGGACGTTTCTTAACTTCTCCAGGACTCACTATTTTCTCTTTATTAAAAGGTGAGTTCTGGTTTATATAGTGCTTACATTGGGGACATGCTTTCCTGGACAGAGCACGTGTGGTCCAGGTGCAGCGGGTGGGAAGTGTCCTACAACCACTCTGGCACCACCATGATCTGTTTCCACTGGTGGCCATGCTCAGGGGGTTTCATTTGGAGAATGAGTTCTGAGGCTTTACCAGTTTTTAAATAACTGGTGCAAAAATGTTTTAAGCAAGCTTCTGTTTCTGAAATTCTCTATGGAATATAAATGTTGAGTGCCTTCAGTAAAGGATGATTAGCTATTCAAAAGTTTCTTCACGTAACCATTAGCACATTATATCTCCATGTGGTGTTTGCTGATAACTGGGTTTACTAGCAATAATCTGCATCTTGCATTTGTATATATATAAGTTTGAGTAAGTGTTCCAATCCTAGCATGTTCTATAGATTGAGAGTCCCTCACAATCATGATAAGCTTAGAAAATTACTTCCAAAGTATTTTCAAAAGGTAAACTTACTTGGCTGTTGTATTATATTTATTGACTGTGTGGCTTACCCACTAAAGTAAGTGGGAGTTATTGTTTAGCTTTAGATGTCACTTGGCCATGGGTGTGAGTGGCTCCTCTGTGGTCCATAGCGGTACTTGCCCTCACCGGGAACTTTAACCTCCAGCCTCGCATCTTGCAAATCTGGGTGCTACATGAAAACAGGATCAGGCAGGAAAGTATGGATGAATCCCCAATATCCATGCTATCCAATGAAAAGCAGTCAAAAACTTACTCTATTTTTTTTCTTTTTGGAGACAGGGTTTCACTCTGTCACCCAGGCTGGAGTGCAATCGCTCAATCTTGGCTCACCGCAGCCTCGACCTCCTAGGCTCAAGCGATCTTCCCACTCTAGTCTCCCCAGTAGCTGGTGTATACGGCCATGCCAGGCTAAGTTTTGTATTTTGTATTTTTGTAGGAAGGGGGTCTAACTATATTGCCCAGGCTGGTCTCAAACTCCTGGGCTCAAGTTATCCTCCTGCTTCGGCTTCCCAAAGTGCTGAGCTTACAGGCATGAGCCACCGTGCCCGGCCCAAAAAACATATTCTTAAAGCACAATGGATAGCACAATTTACCTGTGCCAAACACAAACCAAATGGCAACAACAATAACAATAAAAACTCATCACTTCAGTGACAAAAAATGAGAAGTTCCTTTGAGCTATTTAATTTCCACAAAGTTAAGTACCCTCCCCCAGCAAAAATGAAAAATCACTGCAAACAGACAAACTCCCCTGTTCCTGAATGACACTTAAACCAAGTAAACCAAAGATAGTTTGGGGTTAATGTATATATTTTACAAACATTTTCCTATTTTTGAAACGAGCTTTGTCAAACAGCTTTCTTCATTTTGACAATTTTAATTAGGAGAGACCAATCTTATTTTTGTGATAATTCAGATCCTAGATTCATTATTTCTGGAGGATTCTAATTTATTCAGACAAATGGAAGAGAAAAGAAAGAGTAAAATATACATATCCATTTTATTATTAAGATTTTAATTGTCTGACATTTTAACAGGCATTTTCTTTTCCTTCACATTATGGTTCCAATCCTAGCTTCTGCCTGTAATTTTGACTTATTAAAATACTACTCCTTGGCCGGGCACTGTGGTTCATGCCGGTAATCCCAGCACTTTGGGAGGCCAAGGTGGGTGGATTGCTCGAGCCCAGGAGTTCCAGATCAGCTTGGGCAACAAGGTGAAATCCTGTATCTACAAAAAATACAAAAATTAGTCCAGTGTGGTGGTGTGCGCCTATAGTCTCAGCTACTGGGGAGGCTGAGGCAGGAGGATGACTTGAGCTCAGAAGGCAGAGGTTGTAGTGAGCCAAGATCATGCCACTGCACTCCAGGCTGGGCGACAAGTGTGAGACTCTGTCTCAAACAAAACAAAACAAAACAAAAACCCCAGAACTACTCCTCTGTTAGGCAGAACAGTTATTTTAACTCATGGGCTATAAATCTTCTTGTGATGAAGAGGTATCATTTACCAACACAAAGATATAGAGAGTTCCCATGGGATTTTGAGCAAGTAAATGATTCTTCTTAATCTCACTGAAATCAAAGTGTCGTTTTCTTTTAAAAATCTGCTCTGAATATGACTGATTCGTCTTTCCTAACTGCAAGGTGATTTCTAAGGTCAGCCAGAGAGAAAGTTGCCTGTCAGTGATCTGTTTTATCAGTACAAGGGGAGCTATCTATGAGTGGCAGGGAAAAAATAGCTGACCTTAGGTCAGCCAGTGAAGACTCTGCCAGACTTTGGATTCTGATTTTTTAAACCAAGTTGTAAGAAAACAAGCTACTTTTAAACCTCTTTGCTGCGCTTTCAAAATTCTATAAATATACCTTCATTATAGCATACTTAATGTTGTATTGTAATTATTTGTTTTACTACTGCAGACTTTGATATCCTGCAGAAAAAGAGTCATGCTTTATTCATCTTCATGTGTCTAGCATTGAATCTGTTGTGTAACATGGTAGATGTTCAATAACTGCTTTCTAAATGAATGCATCTTAAATGTGTCCAAGAGGGAGGTTTACTGATTTACATGTGGGATAAAGACAGGAACATTAACGGTTAAAATTTCGCATCCAGCAAAGAACTTTTGGCTTAACAGGTGGTACCTTAAGCTTTATATGTTTCACAGTGTTCAAGAATGTTCACGTATTTTATCTCATTTGACCCTCACTGTGGATTTGGAAGGTTGGCAGAGCAAGTGTTATTTCCATTATACACATGAAGAAATTGAGCTCTTGCATAAGTAAATTGTAGCACTAAGATTATAACTATGGGCAAGTTATCCTCGCTCTTCACTGTGTGATGAGCCAACCTGGACAACTGATGTGTGTGTGTGTGTATGTGCATGTGTGTGGGTGTGTGTTGAGGTGGGGGGTGTTCCATCTGTCGGGCATGTCAATCTGTTTATTTTATCCTCTTATCTTTCTTTATCACCCTTAGAGAAAGATAAATGAAAGCCACTGTCTTCCTAGAGCAGGCATGTTTGGTAGCTGGAAGCCGTTCGTGTTCTTGGGGATGCCTGGAAAAGCCCAGGAAGCAGTAAGATGGGTGAGGAAGCAACGCAGCCAGAGGTGTGATTGGTGGCGTGGGCTCTTCGCCTCCTCCTCTGTTTTGCCTGCAGATTGAACAGTTTTGTGAGTCTGGGTGGTGTTTGGGTCTGTGTGGAGCCTGGTTCCTATGACCGTAAGGGGACCCTTGGCTAACAAGAGCTTTTGTTACCACTGGGGGGGTGGTTAATAGATATGTGGGTTTTTTTTAAAAGGATAATTCTACCGTGCAATTGTGTAGCCTCTTTATTACACATTAGGGAAGAATAATCCCTGAATTTTTTTTTTTTTTTTTTTTTTGAGACAGAGTCTTGCTCTGTTACCTGGGCTGCAGTGCAATGACACGATCTCTGCTCAATATAATCTCCACCTCCTGGATTCAAGTGATACTCGTGCCTTTGCCTCCCAAACAGCTAGGATTACAGGCGCCTGCCACCACACCCAGCTAATTTTTGTATTTTTAGTAGAGATGGGGTTTCATCATGTTGGCCAGGCTGGTCTCGAACTCCTGACCTCAAGTGATCCACCCGCCTCTGCCTCCCAAAGTGCTGGGATTACAGGCATGAGCCACCGCACGGGCCCCTGAATTTCTTAAATCAAAGTTTTACTATAATATATTTAAGGGCAGTGACTGGACCCTATTTATCTTTGTATGTTGCAGAGTATTTCCATATCCTAGGTTATAATTATTTGCTGAACAAATGAGATGCATAGAGGGAAAACATCCTAAATGAAATGTTGTACATTATGCACTGACATTTTCCCTCCATGCATGTCTTTCTCTCCTCCACCAATGGATATTATGGGCTGTTTGTGCAGAGGCTGACTTCCAGCCATTGATTCTGTTTGAGAAAAACCACCGTCTTGTCTATAGATCAGTGTTTGTACAGGTTGAGCATCCCTAATCTGAAAATCTGAAATCCAAAATGCTCCCAAATCCAAACTTTCTGAGCACTGACATGATGACCACAAGTGGCGAATTCCACACCTGACCTCATGTGATGACTTGCAGTCAAAGTGCAGTCAAAACTTTGTTTCATGCACAAAATTATCTAAAATATTGTATAAAATTACCTTCAGGCCATGTGTATAAGGCATATAGAAAACATAAATAAATTTCATGTTTAGGCTTGAGTTCCATCCCCAAAGATCTCTCGTTACGTCTATGCAACTATTGCAAAATCCAAGAAAATCCAGAATCCAAAATATTTCTGGTCCCAAGCATTTTGGATAAGGGGTACTCAATCTGTATAATCATTTAAACACTTGACCACTTTGGTTTTATTAAAGATTCGAGGAAATTGAGACTACGATGCAAATTATTGGTTGTGCTAACAGTGATAAACTTTTATCTCATTATATGTGTTTACTCCTTGAATTTAAGACGTTCAGCTGTAAAAAGAAAAAGAACAAGACATTTTGTCAAAAATTATGCCTAAAGGGTCAAGTTGTCATGAGAAGTGCTATAATACGACAAATTTTAGAAAGTCCCCCCCACTCCCTTTACAACATAAAAATGTAGTTTTTTATTTTTGTTTTCAGTTCATAAACATTTTGGAAACGCACTGTATCAGAAGGTAATTAGCGGCATTGTTTGGAAAGATGAAAAATTTATTAGAAAAGATCTTTAAATGGCTTTTACTAAAGCGTCATTTAACAATTTTTCATATTATAGAAACAGCTTTTCATGGATGGTGTGACTGGGTCTGTATCCAAACCCGGTTCGGTTCCTGGAGCCAACGGCGTAGTTAACACTCAGCCTCTTGCAGTTAACACTCAGCCTCTTAACTGGGAGTGGCCCTGGAGCAAGTCGCTGGAATGTTCAAGCTCCGCGTCACTCATCGGTACCAAGTTGATGATCTCTGCCTAGGGTTCTTCGCCACCCTCAGGCTCAAGTCCCAGGAGGCCTCCTCCGCTGACTTGGGTGAACAGCTCTGAGTTCCGGAGAGGGTTCGGTCTGCGGAGAAGCGCGCGAGAGACAAGCATCCTCAAGGTTCTGGTACAAAATTTGGAAAATGGACCTGGCGTTGAAATCTTTACTCCTCGTTTAAAAAGACCATCGAAAGGGAAAAAATAAAAGAAATTGCAGTTTATATTTTTGTTATCCCATGAAAAATTAGCTGCAGTGTTTTCCTCTTCATGCCAAAGAGATTAATATTTACGGTGAAGACTTTTCCAGGAAGTCGTGGTTTTCTGTAAAAAAAGGTTTTACACATCAGAAATCGGACTTCTGGGGCAATTTCCTGAATTCCTGGAATAAAACAAAACAAAAAAAAGCCCCCAAACAAAACTCTATCATCTAAAGCGTTCCCTCCTCACTGTGGTCCTAGTCAATGCGTGGTAGGTAGCGTTTCCAGTGATCAACAAAAGTAAATATTTGACCAGTAAGTCTCCAATCGAGAGGCCCCTCCATTCCAGCTATTTCCGCCCGGGGACCGAGGAAATCCTCAAAAGCCGGGCCACGCATTCCCAGCCCGAGAGGCCCCAGCGCAGAGCGCAGCAGCCCCCGCGAGCGCAGGTCCTCCCCGCGGTGGCTTCGCCCAGGGCGCTTGGGTCTCGGGGACCCCGCCCCCGCCCCGCCCGGTGTTACTCAGGCCTCGGTGGCGCAGGGCGGAGTCGCGGGCGGCGGGCGCAGGTGGGGAGGGGCGGCCGGAGCGCGTCGGTGACACCCGCGGGGGGGCGGGGAAGGCGCGGCGGCCGCACCCCACCCTGGGAAGAAACCGGCCAGGTGTGGCCTAGGCGCCCAGTGCCAGCGGGGAGGAGACTCGCTCCGCCGCCGACCAACACCAACACCCAGCTCCGACGCAGCTCCTCTGCGCCCTTGCCGCCCTCCGAGCCACAGCTTTCCTCCCGCTCCTGCCCCCGGCCCGTCGCCGTCTCCGCGCTCGCAGCGGCCTCGGGAGGGCCCAGGTAGCGAGCAGCGACCTCGCGAGCCTTCCGCACTCCCGCCCGGTTCCCCGGCCGTCCGCCTATCCTTGGCCCCCTCCGCTTTCTCCGCGCCGGCCCGCCTCGCTTATGCCTCGGCGCTGAGCCGCTCTCCCGATTGCCCGCCGACATGAGCTGCAACGGAGGCTCCCACCCGCGGATCAACACTCTGGGCCGCATGATCCGCGCCGAGTCTGGCCCGGACCTGCGCTACGAGGTGACCAGCGGCGGCGGGGGCACCAGCAGGATGTACTATTCTCGGCGCGGCGTGATCACCGACCAGAACTCGGACGGCTACTGGTGGGTACCTGCCCGGAGAGCGCGGGCTGCGGGGCTCGCGGGACAGGGAGGGACCGTCCTCCTCTGGACGACTGGGAGACTCGGGTCCCGAAGGTGGAAAGGTTTTTTTGCCCCAGGTCCCGAAAGAACTTCCCGGCCGCGCTGGGAGCAGGACCGGGTGTCCTGACGCGTGCGGGGACAGGTTGGCCCCTGTCCTGCGAACAGGGACTCGGTCGTACCTTTCTCCCCTCCCGCGAGCCCGGGCGGGTGGTCAGAGGGGGCGTCGGGCCCGCGCGGGGCTGTCCCCTGCCTGCTGGACACGGCTGCAGCCGCCTTTGTCCCAGCCCGCGAATGGGAGGTCAGGCGAGGTGGGGCTGCGACCACAAAACCCAACCTCTCCAACCGTAATCAAAGTAAAAGAGGAAAGGAGCGGGGCCCCGGTCCTGTCTGGTGGCCGAGTGGTGCTCGGGGCTCCGCAGTCTCTACCGGCTCACCCCCAATCCCCAGTAACCCCGAGACCACGACTGCAACGACTCCTGGACTCCTCGGCCACCCAAGGACGTTTGTATCAAGGCTGCGCGTCCCGGCGGCGCGGGGTCCTGTCCCGAGGAGGCGCTTCGGCTTCCCCTGTCCGGGAAACGAAACTTCCCCGCCGGGGCGGCTGCCGGGCCCGGGTCTCGAAGTTCGGCCGGGACGTGCCTGTTACCTTCGGTCGTCCGCGCCGCAGCCCCCGCGGGCGAGCGCACCTGGGGCCCTGCCTCTGAGCCTTTTGTTTCCTCCTTTTTAAAAACACCGGATGAAAGACCCCAGTGTGCCTTGGATCGCAGAGCGCCGGCCGCATGTCTGCTTTGATCCAGAATGTGTGGGCAGGGGAGTGGGGGGGTGGGAGAGGACGACGCTGGGGGCCCGCCCTGGCCTAGGCGCCCCGGGAAGACCCCCCGGTGAGAGGGTCAGCTTCTCCGGATCCCAGCGGAAACAGACCGAGGGCGTCATTTGGGTGGGTGGGGAAGAGATCCTGTCCCTGCTTTGACCGGGTCTCGGGAGCTGGACTCTAGATGCCCACGTGAGCCGTGCGCGTTTTGCAGCCCGCCCCACCTCCCCGCCCCCTGCTAGTTGTTCCCACGTCGGGCTTTTGGGAAAGAGGCCCTGAGCGCCGGGACGTTATTTACCAGGCGTTGTGGCCCTAGGCCTGGGAGGAGCAACCTGAATGCGCTCCAGGGAGTTTTGTTTTGCAAGCAGTTTTGAAGGCAGGGACTACTCGAGTTGCAACCTGTTTTCTGCTTAGATTCATTTATTTATTTATGGGGCATCCTGAAAATCTATTTTCGCTTTTTTTTTTTTTTTTTTTTTTGAGTTAGCAAAGAATTGTCTCAATCTTGGAGTTCTTTGTTTCCTGAACAAAATGTGTCTGGGGATTTCCAGGGAAAATGTGCCAAGCAATAGAAGGAATGAAAACTTGGGTTTTCATTACATTTGTTTTAAAATTTTGCCAGCCATTTAAATCTGAAATTTAAATTTTCTCCCGCAGTCCTCCAGGATTTGAGATGCACATCCTTTAAATGTGTGGGTTACACACAGTTTAAATCCAAGTCAGAATAGAATGCGAAGGACTCTTTAGTAGCTCTTTTTGGCGTTTTCATGAACCAAGTATTTATTTTGATTATTATTTATAACTATGCTTTTGCTAGCTTGGATTTCTTATCTTTTAAATAGACAATAATCAGTACTATTAATCGAATATTTCACTCCCTTGGCTTCTTATACCTTTTGTAGGGGAGTAAAACTTTAATAAATTAAGTGGTTAATGAACTGCATCAAGGTACATGTTTTATTAGGATTCCCCATTGAAACATTTAATTTTGGGCAGGCTCCATGTTTTTTCCTTGTGTAGTATCATCCCGTGCTCTGTTTTTCCAACTTAAAGCCTACTTACAAACTTGTCAAGTCTCACATCTCTCTGGGAAGGGGAAAGAGACCCAAGTGAAAAATTACCTGACTTTGAGGAAGGATGTTTTTTCTTCTCATTAATGTTGCTCTGCCCGGCAGCAGGGCGTCAAGCTCAGGGCTTGAGTCGGGAGGCGGTCATTCTTTCCGGGGATCCTGGCAATGGAGGTTCCTCTCGAGCCTGACCCAGCCTGCAGTGGTGCTACTGACTACAAAATAGCCCACAAATGCTGACTTCTGCGTTTTCAAATAATAGCGACCGCCTGAAGGCAGGGCATGTCGCAGTTTTTCTGGTGGCATTCTGGTTTTGTGTGGAGGGATATGTTTGGCTGTGGCGTGCACTTTGTAGAAGCAGGGTGCCCTCTGTGCCCAAGGGAGCCACTGCTCTCTGCTAAGTGAATGATGATTAAGAATTTCATAAGTATTTTTCTGACCCGAAGGTTTTCTAAATAAAGGTTTTTGTGGTTTTCTTTTCTTTCTTTCTTTTTTTTTTTTTAGCATGAAAACTAGTATAAAAACTATTGGTTGACTTTAAACTCATTTATTTCAAAAACTGCTACTTTATGGCTGAATTATTAATAGATTGGTGATTTTTGAGATGAGTGTTTTGTATCTAGCCCTTCCCTGAATAAAGAAATTTGAATGTGTGGAGGGCCCAACTCTTAGTTTTCCTTTGAAAATGACTTTAAAACATCTCTCTCTCTCTCTGTCCTTTCCACGAACAGCACTTACCCGTTTTTAGGACAGTATTAGATCTCATTGTATCCTAATTCCCTCTTTTTCCCCCGACCACCTGCCTGTTCTTTGTGTCTTTGTTTTAGATTGAATGGAATCTGCAACTACTTAATTTTGTTAACATTTGGTAAATGTTACAACCTTGATAATGAAATAATAGACATGTACATGTTTTGAAATGTAAATTTTGGATTCTTCTTGGATAGGACATTATATTAATACTGTTTTCAATTACAGCAGAATTACTCTAGTCTTATTCCTGTCATTAAAACAAATTATAAATAGTGAAATTTGTTACCAAAGTAACAAAGTCTCACAGTTAGATCTTTCTTTCACCCATCAAAGGGTGAATTTGTGGGAGGATTAAAAGCAGAAAATAGTCATTAAGTTTCAGAAATATGTGGTTATAATATTAATGCTTATTTTTCTTCAGATCTCATGATTTCAAAACTGAGATACGTGTGATCATTATTTCATATACATTTTAAAGTTAGTCTTAAATTAGGTTTTAAGAGAAGCTTATTTCTTACTATGAGACAAACAGGTCAATTTGCCTGAATTTTAGAGCGGGGGGACCCCTAAGGATCACTTAGCCTAGGCAGAAACCCCACACGCACACTTCAGAGACAGGAAGCTGAGGACGTGCCGAAGATCCTAGAATCCACTTAGGGCTGGGTTGGCCTGAGGACCCAAGGATCCTCACCTTGGTTTTCCCTGTGCCTTCACAGCCTGACTTTTAGAATGGACAGGCCTGTAATTACACCATGCAAGTATCTCAAATTCCATTAATTCCTTAATTCAGCAAGTATTTACCGAGCATTGACTGCATTCTGTGTTAAGTGTCAGGGGAGATCAAGGTGGAAATCTATAGCCTTGAAAGGAGTGTAGGCCCTTCCAAGGAAGATAAGTACACGAAGACTAGCACGCAAAAGCGGAATGCACAGGAGGGGTGTACGTGACTTCAGAGACTTCACAAGGAGGTGAGAGAACATCTGTCGTGGGGGCACTGGGAAGACTTTATAAAGGAAGTGGTGTCGAACTAGACTTTGGAGTATTTCAGCTGTGTCAGGATGGGTGGGCAGAGAGCCTTCCAGAGGGAGAGAAGAGCATGAGAAAAGTCTGCGAAGCCTGTGGAGTGATCTCCTTTTAGAGCATTCTCTCTGAGCAGGGAGGCAGTAAGATGAAAGGAAGAAGCATCCTTTTTTGACCAAGGCATTGGAGACCTTGAATGCCCCGGAGAGGGATTTGGATAGGCAGAGGGAAGCTGGTGCAGGTTTTCACTGAAGCCATTGAAAGTCTCCTCCATTGGAGGAGCAGGGAAGTGAGACGATCATAACTGAGCTTCTGGACTGTTTAGGCGTTGGCTTAAGGAAGCCATTGCACCAGTGAAGGAGGGAGGGAATGAAAGTCTGAACCAGGGTGAGGGCAGTGGATGGAAAAGTAGGTATTGCCAAGGTGGAGTGACAGCTTCAGCTAAGAATTGGATGCGAGAGACAAGGGAGAGTCTGAGAAAACAGGCCCAGAGCTCGAGTGACTCATAGCGTAGATAGTCTAAACACTTTTCTGGGAAATTATTGCAAAGCAAGATTTAGTTTAGCTTAATATACGGCAGGTAACATTTACATGGTTATTAAATTTAACTTGTATATTTTATAAAAATATCAGGTCTGTGGTTAATAATAGTTACCATTACCCAGCAAATACCTGTGATGTGCCTTGTATAGGATGTTTGTTATCTCAAGCCTCATAACAAACTTCCCAGTTTACAGATGGGAAGCTGAGGTTAAAATATTTAAATGGCTTGCCTAAGGTCACACAGCTAGTTAAGTTGTTAAGCTAGATTTGAATCCAGTATACCACAATGACGCAAGAGAAGATTAAACCTGCAGTGTGAGAATTCACCTTTTCTACTTGTAAACCCTTTTCTATCTGAGTTATTACTTATTTTTAATCTGTTGAATTCCTCAGTCTGCGTTCCTGTGAAATATTTCATAATCATTGTATTCTTTCATTAATACTCTTGTAGAGTTTCTATCTGCTTAGGAAAAAAGAAACTCAATTTGATTCTGCATTAAGCCAACTAATTGTTAGTCAGATCTATTTAATGGGACAATACAGCTTTCAACAGTCATTTTTTTCTCTAAATATGGGCATAATTTCATTGTTCAGGTAATGGAAGTGTCTTGGAAAGGGAAAAACTGCTGATGCCCCTGATGCCTCAGTGCTGACTTCTTAGGGTGGAGCAAAGGAGGGCTTGGGTGTGAGACTTGGAGAGTGTGTCTTGACTCTCAGCTAACCAGTCTTTCCAGACCAGGAGGTTCTAGAAGGAGTGGTTTCAGTCTGGAGGCCTTGTTGCTGCAGCTGGGAGCAGTGCCTCACCCCTTGATTTTCTCCATCTCCCTCCCGCTGGGCTGGTCCCAGTGGCCCTGCCGCTTGAAAACGTTCAGATGTGGTTCTGATTTTGAAGTCACGGCCCCACAGATCCTAAGACTCAGACATGAGCTGCTCATTTGAGGTGACATCTTGTAAAATACTAGTGCAGTCCAATAATTTATGGCTCACCACCGACACCTTGGGCTGGAAGGGCTCATGAATGTGAAATCTACATTTCATGAAAATGAAGACAGTTTAGTGAGAAGCTGCAGCAAACAGATCAAAGGTTCTGCTTGGAATTACATTTTGTTTGTTTGTTTGTTTGTTTTGAGATGGGGTGTTGCTCTGTGGCTCAGGCTGGAGTGCAGTGGCATGATCATAGCTCACTGCAGTCTTGACCACTCAGGCTTAAGTGACTCTCCCACCTCAGCCTCTCGAGTAGCTTGGGACCACAGGCGTGCGCCACCATACACAACTAATTAAAATTTTTTTTTTTTTTTTGTAGAGACAAGGTCTCGCTATCTTGCCCAGGCTGGTCTTGAACTCCTGGGCTCAAGTGATCCTCCCACCTTGGCCTTCCAAAGTGCTAGAATTACAGGCAAGAGCCAGTGCACCTGGCCTTTGAATTTTCTTACCCTCAATAAGTTTCTTTCATGCTGCTAAAGTGTATCACTCTCTGTGAATTGTCTCAGTTATTTTTGAGTCTTGTAGGGAACCTGAGGAACTCCTGAAATGCCTCACACTTAATACCCAATCCATTTCTTCCTTTTCCTCTTTCTCTTTTTTTTCTTATCACCCCGCCTCCATTTTGCTGCAGGACATCCTTAAAGTTATGGACTGGGGCAAAGACAAAACACAAAAACGAAATTTCTGCCGGGCGCGGTGGCTCACGCCTGTAATCCAGCACTTTGGGAGGCCGAGGTGGGCGGATCACAAGGTCAGGAGTTCCAGCCCAGCCTAGCCAATATGGTGAAACCCCGTCTCTACTAAAAATACAAAAATTAGCTGGGCGTGGTGGCGGGCTCCTGTAGTCGCAACTGCTCAGGAGGCTGAGGCAGAAGAATCGCTTGAACCCGGGAGGCAGAGGTTGCAGCGAGCTGAGATCATGCCACTGCACTCCAGCCTGGGCAACAGAGCGAGACTCCGTGAAAAAAAAAAAGAAAGAAAGAAATTTCAGAACCATAACAACAGCAGCAGCCTCCGCAAGTAAGAGCTATCACTAAGTGAGGTCTCCGCCTCTGCAGTGCCCCTCTGAGCCTCACCTCAGCCCCAGGAGGGGGGTGTTCTACCTGTCACAGAGGCAGAAGCTCCAGGCACTGCCAGTGGATGTCACTTTAAGTTGCTCAAGGTCACAGGCTGTATAACTGGAAGTGGCTGAGCTGGGCGTGGACTCCAACTGTGCCCTACTTCAAAGTCCTTCTGAAGTTAATGATATGTGATCAGTTTTCCACTATCCCACAAACACAATCTGCCAAACACACAGTGTGAAAATCGAGAAAACCGCCTGGAAAAGAAGCAGAACTTTTATTAGAGTACTGTTTCTGTAGCTGCTGGGCGAAGACAAAATGCAGGATCAAAGGAGGCTGTCTTTCTAAAATCTATAGAGACAAAAAATCCACCATGTTTGCTCACTGCTGGAGTGGGAATGGGGAGGGGAGAGCTGTGCTCTCTGGTTGAGCTTTTGAAATCAGGGTAATGAGATGAGCCATAATACCCTCAGATGGGTCTTTTGTTTGCCTTTGTTTTTCTTCCACTTTACTAAGCCAAACAAACATTCATTAAGTACCTTCTGTGTGCCGAACCTTATTTATGTTGTTAGGTTAAGTGTTTGTAGGAGTCCAAGATGACTAAGACATGGGACTTTGCTCTCCAGGAGCAGGTAGCCAGGTGTGTTTAAACTAATGCAAGAGAGGAGAGGATGCAGAGGTGTGATATGGAAAACTCCTTGCAGAAGGCTGTAACTTTTGAAGTTCTGAACTTTTGAAGGATGGCTAACACAGCATTTCAGCTGATGTATATAGAGAGTGTTTAATGAATTTTTTTTTTTTTTGAGACGGAGTTTTGCTCTTGTTGCCCAGGCTGGAGGGCAATGGCGCGATCTCGGCTCACTGCAACCTCCACCTCCCAGGTTCAAGCGATTCTCCTGCTTCAGCCTCCTGAGTAGCTGGGATTACAGGCATGCGCCACCACGCCAGGCTAATTTTGTATTTTTAGTAGAGACGGGGTTTCTCCATGTTGGTCAGGCTGGTCTGGAACTCCCGACCTCAGGTGATCCTCCCGCCTCAGCCTCCTGAAGTGTTGGGATTACAGGCGTGAGCCACCGTACCCGGCTAGTGAATCTTAGAGGTAAAGTATCATCCTTAAATGAAGTATTAAAAATATATTTTTCTTTTTATGAAAGATCCTTTCAAGAAACTCAAACAAAATAGTATATGTGAAAAATGCTTTGAAAATTATAAAGAGCTAAGCAAATAGGCCTCACGGTCAATATTAAAGCATTATATAACTATCATAATTCCTAACACACATTTCCTGAGTTTTTCCTAGGTAATTATTCTGTGAACCTGAAAACAGAGAGACATATGAGTCTTTCTGGCATATGTACAAGAGCCTGTGTTGACTGAATGAACAAAAGAAGAGGAGAGAGAGGAAGGGAGAGATGGAAAGAGGAAGGAAGGAAAGGAGTCCAGTTAGAGAGAAAATATATAAACAAAAAGAAAGGCAAAGTTAGGGGGCATGGTCCAAGTGTCTAATGAGCAACATAGTTATTATAAAAGTATTTTTATAAAACAAAGAGAGTAACTCTTCATTTAAAAACTTTGTTTTTGCCTATAATGTCCCTCTTTGAAATATTTGTCTTGTTTTTTTGTGTTTTTTCTTTATCTTTTTGAAAGTATGAACTTTTTTTCCTTTATCTTTCTGAATATTTTTATTTTTTTAAGACAAGGTCTTGTTCTTTCGCCCAGGTTGGAGTGCAGTGGTGCAATCTCGGCTCACTGCAGCCTCTGCCTCCCAGGTTCAACCATCTCATCTCAGCCTCCCATCTCAGCCTCCCGAGTAGCTGGGACTTACAGGCGTGTGCCTTCATGCCCAGCTGTTTTGTTTTTGTTTTTTTTTCTGTAGAGATGGGGTTTCGCCATGTTGCCCAGGCTGATCTTAAACTCCTGGGTTCAAGCAATCCGGCGGCCTCTGCCTCCCAAAGTGCTGGGATTACAGGCATGAGCCACGGCACCCAACCTTGTCTTGTATTTTTAAAAATAATATTTTTGGCAACACATGTAAAGCTAATGCCTTAGGACAGCTAGTTTTGGAGTCCTATTTTTAAAGAAAAATGTTTTTTTAAAGGTAGTAAAATAAAACCTTGAAATCTTGGTAATATTGTTCACATATTCATGTGGTCCGTCTTTGGATTAGAATCCAGAACTTGTTTTCTTTTTAACCACCGATGAAGGGCTCTCTATGCAAATATTTGGAATCCTTACTTGTTTAAACAAGTTTTAGGATGAACTTAAAAAAAAAGTATGTGCAGGTAGGTTCTTTGTAATATGACTCATTTATCTCTCAGAAGAGTTAAAAACTTTTAAGGATGAGTTATTTTTTTCAAGGGCACCTATTAATTTTGGTTTGGAAGTCAATATTCTTTTGATAAATTTGACCCAAATGAGTTGTTTTCTTTTTCTTTTTTTTTTTTTAAAAAAGCACATGACATCTGCCATCTTCTGTGCCACTGAAATGGGATTTAAAAATCGAACTTCATGGCTTGTTAATTTAATTCCTAACATGATTTGAAAATCTTTCAACCCCTAACACCCATATGTAGCAGTATTAAAAATTTCTTTGAGGGTAGGGATTTAAAAAAATGTGTATACGCTTGTAAGTACATCATTTTAAAATTATTTCTTTATCCATTATAGAATTTTGCATTTTCCCAAACTGCACTATATGAATTAAATTTAATTCAATTAGCATGAATAAATTTATTTACCATGAACTTAACATAGACATTTGTATTATTTTCAGTAAGGAAGAATGAGTTTGGTCATTTCCTAAAATTGAGTTACAGAATGAATGAGGTGAAGAAATCTTACATACCATTTAGCCCAACAGATGGAGATAGAAATTTCTGAGATTAAAAAAAAATCTAAAATTGTGTAGTCAATAACATATATATATATAATCTGACTTAGAAAGGTTTGAATTACAGCTTTTAAAAAAATGCATGTTTCCTGGCTGGGAGTGGTGCCTCCCATCTGTAATCCCAGCACTTTGGGAGGCCAAGGCGGGTGGATCCCTTGAGGTCAGGAGTTTGAGACCAGGCTGGCCAAAATTTGGTGAAACCCTGTCTCTACTAAAAATACAAAAATTAGCTTTGCGTGGTGGCAGTGTGCCTGTAATCCCAGCTACTTGGGAGGCTGAGGCAGAAGAATCACTTGAACCCAGGATGTGGAGGTTGCAATGAGCTGAGATTGTGCCACTGCACTCCAGCCTGGGCGACAGAGTGAGACTCCTTCTCAAAAAAAAAAAACAGGCATGTTTCCTGAAGCAAGCTCTCCTGGCTCTCGTGCTGAAGAATCCAGTGCTACACATACAGCTGGTGTATGTCTGACATCAGACTGACCCGATGGGTCGAAATCATTTCCGCTGAACTTCCTCCCTGATTAAGTACAGCGAGTTCTGTGTGGATTCTTCATTGGGCTAAGACAAGCAAACTGACCTGGCAAGGTGGATTCCCTATACCTTAGTTGGCCTGAGTCTCCCTCTATCTTGTTTTGATGGACCGAGCCATTCACAAGGTATATACCTAGTTCCTTTTCTCGCCTCGGTCTGTTTCCAAAGGGAATTCTTGGCCACACCTAAGACTGAAGTTGGATTCTTACAGATGAAAGATAGAAGTAGACCTTGTTTTAAGGATCAGACGCGGTCTTGAAAAGTTGTGTATATGATGAAATTTCGTTAATCAGATCACACTTCCCAATAGACAAATAATGATATCAAAGATTCTTTATTTCATTGTTCCAACACTTAAGCTTTTTATTTTTTCAACCCTTCAAAGGATTAGATTTCTGTGCATTCCCCATTCCTATACAGTTGTTAATTTATTTACTAAGATGCTGTGCAAAACATGTAAGTTTTTTAGTGGATATCAGGAACATATGAGACAGGGCGCGGTGGCTCACGCCTGTAATCCTAACACTTTGGGAGGCCGAGGTGGGCAGATCATTTGAGGTCAGGAGTTTGAGACCAGCCTGACCAACATGGTGAAACCCCATCTCTATTAAAAATACAAAAAAAAAAAAATAGCTGGGCGTGGTGGTGCATGCCTGTAGTCCCAGCTACTCCAGAGGCTGAGGCAGGAGAATCACTTGAACCCAGGAAGTGGAGGTTGCAGTGAGCCGAGATCATGCCACTGCACTCCAGCCTGGGTGACAGAGCAAGACTCCATCTCGGAAAAAAAAAAAAAAAAAGAACATATGGAAATGGAAATCCTTTAGAAAAGCACGAAGAATTTATTTGGTATTATTAGCAGCATATAAAGTTACCTGTTGTTTTTTTTTTTTTTTAAGTTCAAATATGGGTAGGCAAGGGAAGGCAGGCAAGGTGTCTTCTCTTTATAGGATGTCAACTGATCTCTAGAGAAATAGGAATGTCTTCTAAAACTAGGGGGAGGGAATTAAAAAACAGAGCAAACCCACCAATGTTTTAAGCCAATGTTTGGTTGCCTTACCTCCTTTATCCTGGATGTAATTCGTTTCTAACTGTGGTATAACTAATCAGTCTAGTTCTTGGGTAAAAAGAAGTTGGCAAGTTTTATATTTTGTGGTCAAATGAATTTGATCTCATAAATTCACTTTTAAAAATGTGTATGTACACTTCGGTGCGTTCATTCACAATTGTGTTTGTCCTCCCTGTCTCTGTTTTTTAATACATTTTAATTCTAGAATAGTTTTAGATTTGCAGAAAAGTTACAAAATAGTACAAAGTTTGTGTATACCCTCACCCAGTTTCCCATGCCTCCATCATTTTATTTTTTTTTAACAGCGGGGTTTTATGCTGTGTTGCCCAGGCTAGTCTTGAACTCCTGAGCTCAAGCAATCCTTTTGCCTTGGCCTCCCAAAGTGCGGGGATTACAGGCGTGCCCCACCCTCATCTTATAGCTCAGTTTGTGATTGTTTTTACAGTGGCACACATTATTAAATCATTTAGGAAACTCTGACTTTCCATTGTGCTAAGAGACAACTCTTTCATTTATCTGCTTGGGACTGGCATTCTTTGTGGGAATCACCTTCGGAGCCAAATTGCTGAACAGAATTTCTTAATGTTTCAGAATAAAGGTATTCCTATGCCCCTTCAATGAAGAAAATAAAGATAATTACACAGGACCTTCCTAATTTTTTAATTCATCCTAGGGTTCTAAGTGAGGTTGCTGGGCTTCTTAATGTTTTCCTTTGTCTCTTGAATTTCTTTCCTCTGTTTGATAACAGGTACGTTTTGGAAGGTGTTCTAAGTCAGTTGGAATTCTGCACAAGTTAGGACAACAAATGTGATCTTGCTTGTATCTCAGCAGTATGAGAAACGGACCTCATTTCCTGTATAATTCGGAGTGGAAGACAGAGACTGGTTGCATTGGTGGTGGGTGGGGGCAGTCTTGGTTTCGAGAGCTGGATGGCTCTGGCACCACCTCCCCTGGGCCTGCCTGGAGGAGCCTGTGTCTTCTTCTGGGAGTAGTTCCCAGGGAGGTCTGGGCTCCTCACCCACATTCATCTAGTCCTGGCTTGTTGGGGAGCCTTGCCTGCAGGGAGGAACCCCAAATGGGTGGCCAAAAAAGAAATGCTTTCCCATGGTGAGACAGTGCAGCCAGGTGCTTCGGGAGAATTCCCACATTACTGTGATCTTATCCCATCTATGCATAATGCAACCATTGTTTGTCAAACATTTTTTTTTAAACAGTGAAATTCTTTCTTTAAAACACACACACACACACACACACACACACACACACACACACACACCCAGTTGGTTAGACAGGCATCAGATAAAAGCAGGCTCAGGCTGGCCCTGGCTGAAGGTAGGAAGAGCCAACTTCTTGTAGCACATCCGTGAGGACTTTTCACAGACATTAAATAATCACTTGGTCTGCTTTAAATCTCTCTGAAACCAAACTACAGTAGGCTGTGCTGTGGCATAATATATCTTGGTAAATTTAAAAGCCAGACTTTGGTTATACCTTGCTTGAAGAGCAAATGAAACTCTGTCATCTCGTTCTTTAAGATACAGACCATCTGCAACATTTTCCGCCAACACCACCGTTGTTTTAAGGTTTCTGCTAGGTGTCTTCCAGAAAAGTGCCTCATTTGAAATGTACATTGAATGAGCTTCATTGTAGAGAAAAATAGGTATTCTAGGAACATCTTGAAAGGAGAATGGGTTTGTTTTGCGATAAAGACAATGTATTTAAATTTTCCATCACTTTCTTCACACCATGATTTTTAAAAAAAACATTATTGTCTTTTACAGGAATTACAGAAAATATATATATATATTTTTACAGACAGGGTCTCACTCTGTCACCGAGGCAAGAGTGCAGTGCTGTGATCATAGCTCACTGTAGCCTCCAACTCGTGGGCTCAAGTGATCCTCCCACCTCAGCTGCCTGAGTAGCTAGAGCTACAGGCATGCATCACCATGTTTGGCTAATTTAAAAACAATCTTTTTTTTTTTTGTAAGACAGGGTCTTGCTATGTTGCTCAGGCTGGTCTCCAACTCCTAGACTTAATCAGTCTGCCTGCCTTGGCTTCCCAAAGCACTGGGATTACAGGTGTGAACCACTGTGTCCGGCCAATATTTTTGTAGAGTAAGCTTTTTTCTCCTCTCCTACCTTTCCTTCAGCCCGACTTGCCAGTGAAATCTTCATGCTCTGTGTCTGACACCATGAGGTCTTCCTGCAGAGGGACTTGTGGTGTTGGGGACTGTCATTAGGGACCGCTGTGGGATGAAGCAGGAGTGAAGCTGAAATAGCTGTGTGTCATTGTCATTGCCAGAAGTGTGTTTTTATAACTCAGAGAGATATATTTCTGGATTGGATCCTGGACCTGGGAGGGGAAAACTTGCTGTGAATGACATTATTGGGCTAATTGGTGAAATCTGAACAAGTTCTATAAATTAGAAAATCATTTGTGTCAATTGTAAATTTTCTGCTTCTCATCATTGTATTGTGGTTATATATAAGTGAATGTTTTTATTCTTAGGAATGATATGCTAAGATATTTGGGGGTTAAAAAGCCATGTTCTCAAATGATTCAGAAAAAAATAATATGTATACATAGATAAATATATGCTGAAATATTTGGGGGTAGAAGGGCATGGTTATTCTCAAGTGGTTCAGAAAAAATAATATATACACACAGATAAATACACACACATCTATGGAGAGGGGAGAAGGGGGATAAAAGAAACACAACAAAATGTTAACAATTGGGATTCCGGGTAAAGGGTCTCACAGGAGTGGTTTTGTCCCGTTTTTGCAACTTTTGCAAGTTTGAAATTATTTCAGAATTGAAATAGGTTATTTGATGTCTGGTTTCTCTGTGTTTGCCTCCTTAGTCAAACCGGCACGATGTCCAGGCACCAGAACCAGAACACCATCCAGGAGCTGCTGCAGAACTGCTCCGACTGCTTGATGCGAGCAGAGCTCATCGTGCAGCCTGTAAGCTTTCCCTGTTCCCATCGCTTCTCCCAAAGCCTTGGCCACACCCGACTGTCCTCTGGTTAGCTTCTGCTGGCCGGGGCCTATTCACTGACCTCTTTCACGTAGTGTTTAGAGACACGCTTTTTCAGAACAGACTACAGAGAGATGTGTGTCTTCTTAACCTATTTGTAATGTTGGTTTAACAATGAGAACCAGCTTTCAGACAGTTCCCCGTCCCCCTCCCAACAAATGTTTACACTACAGATTGCCACCTTTTTGGAAATAAAGCAATTTATGATTTACGTGACTTTTTGATACTTTCCCTTCTGAGAAATGCAACCTGGCATGTTTCTGTTCCTGGGTTGGGATGGATCTTCATGTGCACCATCAATTTAGTATGATTTTTTTTTTCAGAGAAAATGACTATATTGAGATAACAATTCTATCTGAGAAACAGAAAAATGGGGAAAAATAGGCAATGGAAAATTGAGGAGAAATGGTAACATTTCTGAGAACCTTGCGATGTTTCTTAAGATAACTGAGACATCCTAGGATCTCATCGAATCCAGATTAGAAATCATGGAGTTCGTGGTATTTGCTGTGTGAAGTCTTCATTTTAAAACACTAGCATTCACCTTTGCTCCGAGTTTGCTAAAAACAGAATAGAGAATGGTGGGGCCGTAGCCATCTTTTCTATCCCTTTCCTGAGTCACTGAATCTTTTCAGCGAAGTCTCCCTAATGCCGACACTGGTATCAAGGTTACATCTGGCATCTGCCTCTTCACAAAGTACCCCTTCTAAATAGCCTACATTTGAAACAGATTTTAACCAGATGAATTTACGGGCTCTGTTTAGATAACATTTTAATATTCTAATTTCTTAATTTAGATATTGTGTGGGTTCTAGTTCTGAATTTCTTCATCCAGTTAAAAAAAGAATGTCACGTTAGTCCATGTTCAGAGATATTTGGGGCTCAGCAAACTAGCTTGGCTCCAGTTCTAGTTGTTTCGAGTGTCTGATTTGAAACATACTCCTTGAAATGTTCCTCGCAGTGGCCCGATTCCTTTACACAAAACAAAATAGCAGACACCAGTGACTTAATAGTGAACATACACACACACACGTCATTTGTAGTGACTATGGATACGTTTTACATGTAGCTCTGAAAATTTTGCATGGCCTCATGTTCTCAGTTTATTTTTGCTTATATGCATCAACGTGCAATAAATAAAAACAGGTTAGGGAAATAGTGTCATATTTGCTAACATTTCTGTTTAGAGAAAAGAGGTTCATTTGACTAAAGCCAAGTAAAAGCAGCAAATATAAAATTCCAGAGAAAGATCAGTAGGTGTTACTGAAGCAGAGGAGGAAGCTTTCTGTTTTTGTTTTTCTGAATACAAAAGCCTTTTTAAATTTTGAAGTAGTTATAGACTCATAAGAAGTTGCAAAAATAGTACAAAGGGGTCTCTACCCAGCACCCAGCTTCGCCCAGTAGTGACATCTTATATGATTATAGCGCATCATCAAAACCAGGACATTGATTGGCCCAATACAGTTAACCAGGCAGAAGCCTTCTTTTTAAGAACTAAAACGTTGGCCAGGCGTGGTGGCTCACGCTTGTAATCCCAGCACTTTGGGAGGCCGAGGCGGGTGTATCACTTGAGGTCAGGAGTTCAAGACCAGCCTGGCCAATGTGGTGAAACCCTGTCTCTATTAAAAATACAAAAATTAGCCTGGCGTGGTGGCACATGCCTGTAGTCTCAGCTACTCAGGAGCCTGAGGCAGGAGAATCACTTGAATCCAGGAGGCAGAGGTTGCAGTGAGCTGAGATCGTGCCACTGCACTCTAGCCTGGGCAACAGAGCAAGGCTCTGTCTCAAAAAAATAAAAATAAAAATAAAAAAAGAACTAAAACATTATGTTCTCATAAGGTATAGGAAAAACTCTGTGCATAAGAGGCCCCATCTGTACCACTGTACCATAATGGTACAGTGTCCTTGTCACAATGAGATTCCCATTATATGAGACTTGTGTGTAAATATGAAAGATCAGCATTTAACATACTGAAGCAAGGGGAAGGTTAGCATTCAGCAAATGTGACTTTAAAAGCCAAGTGCAAATTTAAAAGACAGTCCACAAACTTTGGTTCATGAATCTCCGTCTGTTTACCTTCTTATCTCAATAAGATCATTTTCACTGGCGAAACTTACAGTTTTTGTCATGTTTACAGTGGAAGCTCTTGCTTCCATTAATGCCCATGAAGGTTTTCTTCCTGGTAGTATGTGTTTTCCTTCATGTGAGTGTTTTCTTTCAGGAATTGAAGTATGGAGATGGAATACAACTGACTCGGAGTCGAGAATTGGATGAGTGTTTTGCCCAGGCCAATGACCAAATGGAAATCCTCGACAGCTTGATCAGAGAGATGCGGCAGATGGGCCAGCCCTGTGATGCTTACCAGAAAAGGTATTGTCCACAGAGCATGGATCGGGCAGTCCCCATGAAAAAGAACACCACATAACCAGTTACACTCAATTCCATGACCCAGGGCTTCCTTTGAAGGCAGCACAAATGTTCCCAAGGAAAGGTTTGCTTACTTGGTATTTTGCAACTTTATTATGTATCTCTAATACAAAGTGACCATTTCATTATAGGTGTTAACTGTACCTCCCTTTAGAGGACAGAAAGCCCTTTGGCATGGCATTTGACTTTTTTTTTTTTTTTTTTTTTTTTTGAGACAGGGTCTCGCTCTGTCACCCAGGCTGGAGTGCAGTGGCACAAATGTGGCTCGCCGCAGCCTCAACCTCCTGGGCTCAAGCAATCCTCCCACTTCAGCCTATCAAGTAGTTGGGCTATCGGCATGTGCCATACCTAGCAAATTAAAAAAAAATTTTTTGTGGAGACAGGGTTTTGCCATGTTGCTTAGGCTGATCTCGAAGTCCTAGGCTCAAGCAATCCTCCGTCTTGTGCTTCCCAAAGTGCTGGGATTACAGGTGTGAATCACTTAAGGGTCTAATATCAAGTCAAGCTTAGTTTAATAAATATAAAAATGAGACCCTTAGAGTTGGAAACAAAGACTATAAGGCAGAAAAATGTAGTCTGAATTTGTTCTACTACTACCTGGGGCCCAGGGTACTAGGAAAACTCCCAGGACAAAACGCAAGAGAAAATGAAAGTTGCTCCCAGGTTAGGCAAAGGCAGTGACGCTTTCTATGCTGTTACGCACTTTGAACCTCTTCCTAAGATTTAATTTTTTGTATGTGATTAAGACTTAAGTCCTGGGGTAAAGAAAAAAAAATCTTCAAATACCATAAAACATTTGTAGCTTCTCTATTGACACAAAAGACTCAGAAAAGGGGAAATTTGCCCAGAACGGGTTTTCATAGGCTGTTTTCCTGCAGTGGTTTAAAGGTTTTTTTCTTTGCAGGCTTCTTCAGCTCCAAGAGCAAATGCGAGCCCTTTATAAAGCCATCAGTGTCCCTCGAGTCCGCAGGGCCAGCTCCAAGGGTGGTGGAGGCTACACTTGTCAGAGTGGCTCTGGCTGGGATGAGTTCACCAAACATGTCACCAGTGAATGTTTGGGGTGGATGAGGCAGCAAAGGGTAAGCAGCTTCTTGAACAGCCCAAACCTGTGCAGGCCAGACGTTCCAGCACGATGGGGTCAGCCCATGTGTTTGTGTGACAAAGAGTCTTCTAGACCTCAGGTGGCGGCAGCAGCTTGCTGTTTGCAGGATTTTCCTCCTATACAATTTGAAAAGTGGTCTTCTATTTTGGAATGAATGAGATTTCAGTGTGGCTTGGGGAATCAGCCTCATTGCTTTATAGTCATCCTTTATCACACAGGTCATATTTAACATGTGTAATTTAGTTAGTAGACTTTGAATATCCAGTTCTTATATTGACCACCGGAAAGATCTGTTGTGGGAGTTTATGTGCTAAATAACTTCATTGTTCTATGTGAGTGGCAACTGACCTCATCTGTTTTACTCATAGGTACTTGAAAAAAAGCCCATTGTGGCAGTTCATTTAAAATGGTCATAGATTGGAGGAGCTGGAAACAGTGAAACTAGCCATTCTGGTTTAGGCTCATTGGTTGCTTACCTTAGACTTTTGAAGTCTCAGTTGTCTCATTGTGCAACCATCACGTCACCAGTGTGGGAGTGAAGCAAAATAATGTTGGAAGGATATGCTGATCCTTTCCCTAGAACTGGAGTTTCTGCAAAGTATTTTTCAAGACTAATGATTGTTGTGTTGTTTCATGTAGTCATTATGTCCTATAATGAACAGGTGGTGGTAGAAATATGCCACAATCATGTAGATGGGAATTTTATAATGAAAACCTACTCCTAACCCTTCCCTTGAGAATGTGGATGTGTTAGAGTGATAAGTTGTGGAGAGATTGTTATGCAATTTAGATGTGGTTGTAAGAAAGCTTGGTTTGATTAGTTGTTAGACTAATTCAGCAGTGGTTCTAAAATTTCTCAACTCCTTTAAAATTTTTGTGTATTCTTTCCTAAGTAGTGAGGACTTCAGTGACTAAACATTTATTCATTCATTCAGTTACCTTTTTCTCCCATTTATTATAAAGAATATAAGCTATTACAGAAGGTAAGGCTTAGAAAGAACAAAAGTCAGTTAAAATATCAGAAACCTAAATACAAATCTATTTGTATGTTTTTCAAATTTCCTTCTAATCTTCGAGCACATTTCTTGAGGATTTTATATGTAGTGCCACCCAAGGGTACAAAGATTATGGTCCCTAGTCCTGAAAATGAATGTTATCGAAGAAAACAAGATGCATACGCTCAAATGCCAAATTTCTGTCTAGATCAGCTATAATACATTCTTGCTTAGTTAGAGGGGAGGGTGGCCAGCTCCTGTGGAGTGGAACAGTCACAGGAAGACATAGCGGAGCTGATGGGGCTTAACTACATCTTAAGGATCCACAATGATGGGCAAAACAGCCTTCCAATCAAATTAGTTTGAAATGTCATATCTCCTAAAGTTTTCTTAGTATGACAGTTATAAAAAAAGACAGCCTGTAATTTGTCATTTTTTTGTATTTATGTTGGGTGTAGCTTAAGAATGTAGTAAATGCTCAATGTCTTTAAATTTTGGAAAAGTATTACCACATGAATTCAGTTTTATGTCATTTTCTTTTTTTTTTTTTTGAGAGGGAGTCTCACTCTGTTGCCCAGGCAGGAGTGCAGTGGCATGATCTCGTCTCACTGCAACCTCTATCTCCCGGGTTCAAGCAATTCTCCTGCTTCAGCCTGCCGAGTATCTGGGACTACAGGCGTGTGCCACCATGGCAAGCTGATTTTTTGCATTTTTAGTAGAGACGGGGGTTTTGCCATATTGGTCAGGCTGATCTCGAACTCCTGACCTTGTGATCCGCCCGCCTTGGCCTCCCAAAGTATTGGGTTTACAGGTGTGAGCCACCACGCCCAGCCAGTTTTATGTCGTTTTCTAACAGAAGCAATTGATAAGCGATGCTTTCCGGGTTAGGCACGCAGCCCTCATGGTTGCAAACAAACTAAAAGCTGTTTGATTGCTTACTGCAGGTTCGCTCTGGGATTTGCTGTGGCTCCTTTCCTCTTATCGCTTGTTCCCCTGCATGCTTTACCTCATTCCCAGGAGACTGAGCTGCAGGGCCCAGCTGATAAGGGAACTGTTGCCCCAGCAGCCAGTCAGGAGGCAGGCACTCCTGAGCCAGGTTTTTGTTTTGTTTTCCCGATTTGTGTTTGCCGATGGACAGGTCAGATACGATACACCTGGCTGGTAATGAGACGCCTGAGCTGGAGCCTGGTCACGTTGCTAATGTCCCACTGCACGCACCTGGCTGTCTCTGGTTTAAAGCCGAGACAGCTGTGGGAGAGAAGGGTCAAAGTCCCGGGTAACCTTCTGTTGTCTGACTCTGAAATGGCTCCCCTTTCTGAAGCCTTGCCAAGTGTATTAGAACATGGATGTGGCTTAGAACAATGTGTTTTATGTTCTTGCTGCAATCCCAGATTGGAATGTTTGCCCTTGGCATGTCCAAGAGATGACACAGGTGATTTGGAAATTTACATGTACTCATGCAAAAGAAGGGTGAGATAATGGACTTGCCCCAGTGTGGAACTGGCGGAACAGTGTGTGTGATTCTTATTGTGAAACATTCTTAAATTTGAGGCTCAAATAATAAATTTAGTCAGATTTAATTTTTTAAAAAAGGTAACTTAAGTCCACAATCCTAATATTGCCAACACTCATGGAAATTGAATCCTTGAGTAGATATAGTGACTTCCCTTTGAAGTGGCCCATAGGGAGTTTTGCATCCTAAAAGGGAATGGTATATCCTGGATTTTAAAAAGCCAATAATTACATCCATCAAGACAATATAAAGAAATAAACAATGAAAGATGCTTTTAGGTTGACTATTTAGTTTGGGGAACAGTGTATGATTGCATTTATTTAATGATTTTTTTATGCACATTTAAGAATGATTAAATGAGTATTTTATAACATATCATACATATATATGCACACATATGTTCTGTGCACATGCTTGCTTGCCTGTGCACAGGTAGATTTGGTTTTTTTTTTTTTTCAGAAGACATGATCTTGGTTTTCAGGTTCCCATTTCTAAATTTCCTTCTCTGCCCATCTTGAGCTGGGGTCAAGCAAGTTGAGGGAAGTATTTGGCAACCCTGCATTAGCCATTTGGGAACCTTTAAAAAATATTCTGGCTTCAAAAATACTCCATATTTACATCTTTGGTTCTATCTGAAGTAAAGCCGTGATGGTGTGCGTAAGTGAAACAGGTGCAAAGGGGCAACAACAAAGGGCGCCTCTCTTTGTCTTTGTGTCGCAGGCGGAGATGGACATGGTGGCCTGGGGTGTGGACCTGGCCTCAGTGGAGCAGCACATTAACAGCCACCGGGGCATCCACAACTCCATCGGCGACTATCGCTGGCAGCTGGACAAAATCAAAGCCGACCTGGTACTTGTCTGTGTTTCATTTTAGAGTCTTCAAAATATCTACCGAAGGATCGTGTAATTACTCAATCCCAGGGAGTTTCTTCTGAAACATTGCTATTATTTCTTTCCCAGAAGACTGGAAATGTTTAGAAATCCCACTTCTTAAATGGGGAAGTGGAATCAGTAGCCCTATTAGAGATTATGTTAACACTTGAAGAGGAGTTAAACCAGAGGCTGAGGTTGTGCAAACACTCATTTGCAGTTTGTGAATAAGTCTCTTTAGGGGTGGCAGTTTGTTTCTGCGGTAAGCAGAACATCTTTTTGAATAGGGGAAATGCAACAGTCTTATACAGTAGTTTGTGTCATTGGTGAATCCTTTCCTAGGTGGTAATTAAAACATTATTTCTACTGAGCAAAGCCATATGTCATCCCGACACCCGCTCCCATGCTGAAAAAAGTCAGACTTGAAACTGGGTTGAGAATTACAGCATAAAATCATAACTGATCTTAAGTGCTTAGTTTCCCGCAGGTCTCTACACTTGTAAATCACTAAACTTTTTTTTTTTTTTTTTACCTGAGACCATAGCTTCTCATCCTCATTTCTTCTTCTGGCTTTTTGGGGCTTACTTTTGTCCACCTGAGCCCCTGACCAACTTTCTCCTTCATTTCTCTAAGACCTAGGGAATCCTAAATGATGTCTTTAAACTTTAAGACAATTTTCTAACACGTGAGTCTTTAAGTGACCCTGATCTGGGCTTTCCTTTGTGGAGACGGTGCTGCCAGGCCAGCAAGGGTTTGCTTTCCAACCGCCTAGGAAAAAGTCCCCATGGGTGAAATATCTCATAGAGCTAGTAATTCTTTCTTTCTATGGAGGGATCTGAGGCCAGTATCTGAAGAAAAGGAGGCTTAGAAGGGCCACTCTTTTCTATACAATCCACAAGGGGATTTATATCTACCTGCTTTTTGTTGTCTTCTAGCGCGAGAAATCTGCGATCTACCAGTTGGAGGAGGAGTATGAAAACCTGCTGGTAAGCTGATTTATTTCTCAAGTGCATCGACTTTCTGTTGTTTCCAATTCAATTCAGTTCAAGAAATATCAAGCACATCCTGGCGGGGAGGCACCTGTTCATCGATGCTAATGTTGTTGCTGCTGCTGAGTTTCCTTTAGAAGTGAATTTTAAAAGTTGTTTTCTTTTCTTTTTTTCTTTTAAGTAGAGACAGGGTTTCACCATGTTCACCATGTTAACCAGGGTGGTCTCAAACTCCTGACCTCAAGTGATCCGCCCGCCTTGGCCTTCCAAAGTGCTGGGATTACAGGCGTGAGCCACTGCGCCCGGCCTAAAAGTTGTTTTCAGAAGTCAGTCCCTACTGCTGTTCTGTTTTCAAGTTGTGTCACATAAATGGCACTTGTTAAGTACTTGCAGTTGAAGCAAGAAAACGTTGCCACTTGTGAATTGTGGTCTTTTTTACGAAGTGTAAGCAAAAATAAAAGTTATTTTTCTCAAGATAGAGGTCTACCAGATCGTCATCACAATTTTATGACACTCAGTCATATCAGTTACTTGATTCATAAGAGGAGAGATTTCCATTCTTTTGCCTATTTGTGTCATCATATCTTTACTTTTTAATGTTTCCTTGTTGGCAATGATACTTTTTAAATAATGTCACTCGTGGTGACACAGTGATTTTCCTATTGGGCTGGGGTGTGACTTATGGCACTTTGAATTTTTGGGGAGAAGGTAGGAAAAGCTTGATTTCTCTAACAGTCCATTTTCCCCCTTATAGTCCAAAACTAATTATTGATGGGTACAAAAATACAGTTAGATAGAAGGAGTAAGTTCTAATATTTGATAGTACAATAGGGATATTATAGTTAATGATAATTTATTGTATATTTCAAAATAGCTTGAAGAAAATATTTGTAATGTTCCCAACACACAGAAAAGATAAATGTTCGAGGTGATGGATATCCCACTTATCCTGATTTGATCATTATACATTGTATACATGTGTCCAGATATCATGTGTACCCCCAAATATGTACAACTATATCAGTAAAAAATACCAAAAAAAGACCTTATTTAGAAGAATAAAAAAAATTTAAGGCCAGGTGTGGTGGCTCACGCCCATAATTCCAGCACTTTGGGGGGCCGAGGTGGGCGGATCATCTGAGGTTGGGAGTTCGAGACCAGCCTGGCCAACTGGTGAAACCCCGTCTCTACTAAAAATACAAAAATTAGCAGGACGTGGTGGTGCATGTCTGTAATCCCACCTACTCGGGAAGCTGAGGCAGGAGAATCGCTTAAACCCGGGAGGGGGAGGTTGCAGTGAACCGAGATCGCTCATGCCACTGCACTCCAGCCTGGGAGACGAGAGCGACAGTCCGTCTCAAAAAAAAAAAAGTTGCTGCCTTCTTGTTCATTGCAGATTTGGATGGGTCTTTTCCCATACCAGGTGGTCAGTGAATGCACAAGGTTAACATTTTTCCTATCCGTGTGATTTTTTTTTTAAAGGGACCACAGGTTTAATCTTTAAACCTGCAGAGAACACCAGTCACTGCATATTGTTATTTTAATGCTGCCTTTGAACCTCCTGTGCAGAAAGCGTCCTTTGAGAGGATGGATCACCTGCGACAGCTGCAGAACATCATTCAGGCCACGTCCAGGGAGATCATGTGGATCAATGACTGCGAGGAGGAGGAGCTGCTGTACGACTGGAGCGACAAGAACACCAACATCGCTCAGAAACAGGAGGCCTTCTCCGTAAGTTCACCCCACGCGGCTGTAGATGCTTGTCTTGAGCCTGTTGCCTTGAAGAGCTGGGGTCTCGGGGAATGATTGGTCTATTAATAATTTAATCAGCCACTTGCAATTCAGCCTTCTTTGAAATGGTCGTGAAAAATCCTTCCTTCCTGAAAACTTCTCCGTGTGGAGGCCATTATCCTTAGCAAACTTATGCGGGAACAGAAAACCAAATACCACATGTTCTCACTTAGGAGTGGGAACTAAATGATGAGAATACATGGATACATCGAGGGCAACAACACACACTGGGGCCTTTCGGAGGGCAGAGGGTGGAGGTGGAAGGAGGGAGAGGATCAGGCAAGATAACTAATGGGTACTAGGCTTAATCGTGGGTGATGAAATAACCTGTACAACAAATCCCTGTGATACAAGTTTACCTGTGTAACAAACCTGCACATGTATCCCTGAACTTAAAATAAAAGTTAAAAAGAAAAAGAGGGGCAATACCTTGTTTAATATCCCAGAAGACCGTAGTTTGTTTAGAGAGGATAAGAACTGGTACGTTCAGATAACCCAGGATGTGTGTGGCACTGCAGGAGGGTGGGTGGAAGCCTGGGATTAGAAAACCTCAGGATGGATGTAGCTCTTCTTTCCTCCTGTGTCATCTTGAGTAAGCCTCTGCCACATCCTCTCCTGTAGCAAACATCCTTTTCAGCCTTAAAAATGCTGTGATTCTTGAGGAAAACAGCGTGATTCTTTGGCATTGTTCATTTCCAAAATGCAGTTTTGTATTTCACTTTTAAAAAGTACTGTGGGGGTGATGGAAGTTTAATGATGACTTGCTGCAAAGGATTTCTTATTTCTTCATTCACAGATACGCATGAGTCAACTGGAAGTTAAAGAAAAAGAGCTCAATAAGCTGAAACAAGAAAGTGACCAACTTGTCCTCAATCAGCATCCAGCTTCAGACAAAATTGAGGTAGGCTTCATGAGGTTTATATTTTTGTTAGAAAAAAAAAAACTTTTCATAAAGTAAGACTAACCAAATGAGTAATTCTTATATGACTTAAAGCCGTGCCAACTTTATTTTCTATTTTGGGATCAATACCCTACACCAGGGGTTGGCAAACTCTTTTCAGGAAAGGACCAGACAATCAGTATTTTAGACTTTCAGGCCATTTGGTCTCTGTTACAATTACTTAACCCTGCTATTATAGTGCAGAAGGAGGCATAGACACTGTGTAAATGAATGAGTGTGCCTGTATTCCAATAAAACTTTATTTACAAATAGAAGTGGGCCACATGTGGCCCTTGAGCTATAGTTTGGTGACCGCTGCCCTAGACTGCCATCTTTGGGCCACGCTCAAGGCTGACATTAGCTGGTACCACTGGTATGGCCATACTGCTTGTTAAAAAACACAGAAAGTTCCATATCAGTTGGTAAGAATCACTGTCTTGAGCCCCCTAAGCCCTTTGCTTGGATGCCTCGAACCTCCCCATGATTCAGCAATCCTCCAGGAACAGGGCTCGGTGTGGCAAAGGGATGCCACTCCAGTGCTAGCCCCAGTGACAGTTCTGATTGGTCAGTATCTCTGCTATTTGGGTGATACATATTTTGACTAAGACTCCTCATGGTGTCTATTTGTGAAAGCTGATTTTAAAATTTAGTTTTGACCATACCAAGAGATATATGGTGAGAAATTCTCTTTCCAACTTTTAGAAAAATATCTGCTTGACTTAGAATGAGATAAAAACTGCTTACTAGCTTTCATGCAGGCTCACCTATCTCTTGGTGTTCATGCATCTGTACAACTGAGCTAGGCTAAGACAGCTGACATTTTCTTGTTTCAGGCCTATATGGACACTCTGCAGACGCAGTGGAGTTGGATTCTTCAGATCACCAAGTGCATTGATGTTCATCTGAAAGAAAATGCTGCCTACTTTCAGGTTTTTATATTTAGTGATAATTTTGTTGTTATTTAGGTCTTAATACCTAATCTTTTGAGTGTGTTTTATAAAGCACTGAAAATAATCTTCAAAATGTTGCATAAATCCTCTTCATTGATTTTGAGTGCAGAGTAGCATAGATTTGCAACCTTGCCATCAGTCCTACAAATAGTTTCCCGCTGCCACATACCTAAATACTTTCTGCACGAATTTTTTCCTTTAGCCACCTGTCAAAGAGATGTTTAGGGATGACAATCCTTGAAACAGAACTACTAGATGAAATTGCTCATTGAGTTGCTGTTCATTCACTGATCACTCTCATCCTTCACAGTTTTTTGAAGAGGCGCAGTCTACTGAAGCATACCTGAAGGGGCTCCAGGACTCCATCAGGAAGAAGTACCCCTGCGACAAGAACATGCCCCTGCAGCACCTGCTGGAACAGATCAAGGAGCTGGAGGTATCGTCTCAGACCCAGAACCTCAGCAGCTGTGCCTGATCAGGGAGATAAAACACATGCCTTGGATGCAGTTGGCTCTGATTAGTATTATTGTACAATGCACGCCCAGAGCCAAGCAAGCATTTTCTTCAGCTTCCAGTGGCTTTTCTCAAAATTAACTTCTTTACATGCCCAACTACTCTTGACAGTTACTTTTGCTTCAGTCTGGGCAATTGGTTGAAAATAAGAACAGAGAGAACATTACTTCACATGACAATTCCTTTGGGAACGCATACTTCAAATTTTATCAGCATAGCCCTTTCACACAAGGATGTTCTTCCCTGCCCACTTAATTCCTGCCTGCATAGCTTCTGGAGAGTGTTGTCATGAAAGGTTCTCATGTTTCCTGCCGACGAATTTGTGATTTTTTACAATTGATGCAACTGCAGTGATACTCAGTGTGTCATGTAGCTACATTAATGCAGGTTGAAAATCTCCTCTAAAACTCACAGGGTATCTATGTTTAAGTATGATTTTATTCACCATTGCAGAAAGAACGAGAGAAAATCCTTGAATACAAGCGTCAGGTGCAGAACTTGGTAAACAAGTCTAAGAAGATTGTACAGCTGAAGCCTCGTAACCCAGACTACAGAAGCAATAAACCCATTATTCTCAGAGCTCTCTGTGACTACAAACAAGATCAGGTGTGTACTCATTTAGAATGATACAAAAGTTTTCCCTGTCTTTACACACAAATTTTTGTCCATCAAGAAAGCAACATTTAATCTAGAGTTCAATAATCACCACAGTCAATGTCTTTGATCTATGAAATCAGCAGCTATGGAACAAAAGCAGCAGCTCTGTTCTGAATCATATGGTAGTTGTCAATAACAAGGACAGTAGTTATTTTTAGAACTTTTAAAAATTCGCAAGGCTTAATACTTTTCTTCTAGTATGTCAAAGTTGTCTGTGATCACTCTCATCTTTAAATTTCTGATAAAAGAAATGAGAAATGATGCTTTTATGTTGCATATAAAGTGAATGTCTCTCACTATGGGTGACACAGTGAGACCAAATAAATAAATAAAATGTAGCTCACTTCATGTATACCTTTTAGGCTCACATGTATTATTTAAAGCATCGGTATTGTTGGGTTGTATGATGATCAGCTTCATTTGAGGGGAAAAACGTAAAAGCTTTAATAATTCGCATGTGTTCATCTCTGTTTCCATCATTGAGAAAAAAAATAAAAACACATACTTATGAATAAAGCCAAACCCTGGGGTTGCTTGCCTTACAGAAAATCGTGCATAAGGGGGATGAGTGTATCCTGAAGGACAACAACGAGCGCAGCAAGTGGTACGTGACGGGCCCGGGAGGCGTTGACATGCTTGTTCCCTCTGTGGGGCTGATCATCCCTCCTCCGAACCCACTGGCCGTGGACCTCTCTTGCAAGTAAGTCATCCAAGTTCCCAAAGCCACGCATGCACGCATGAATGTGAGGGCAGAGGAAGAGGGCAGGTGTTTATACCTGAAGCTTAGACACACGATGCCTTGCCATAATAAACACCTTCTAAAAAAAGGAACCTTGTGAAGGTCACCTTCACTTTGTCTTGCAATTTTATGTTGAATAGACAGTCGTTATTGAAGAATAAAAGGGAATATCTGGCCGGGTGTGGTGGCTTATGCCTGTAATCCCAGCACTTGGGGAGACCGAGGTGGGCGGATCACCTGAGGTTAGGAGTTTGAGACCAGCCTGACCAACATGGAGAAACTCTGTCTCTACTAAAAATATAAAATTAGCCAGGTGTGGTGGTACATGCCTGTAATCCCAGCTACTCGGGAGGTTGAGGCAGGAGAATTGCTTGAACCTGGGAGGGGGAGGTTGCAGTGAGCTGAGATCGTGCCACTGCACTCCAGCCTGGGCAACGAGAGCAAAACTCCATCTCAAAAAAAAAAAAGGAATGTCTGACTGTAGTGGGGCCAGAGTGAATAATACTTGTCATGCACTTCAAAGGCATCATTTTAAGGTTCTCCTTTTCTTAGAAAATCAGTTGTTATACATGTAGCTACAAATATAAAATGCCTTTAATATCAATATTCACTCATTGTAGGAAGAACATTCGTTTAACAGGTTGTCCATGGCAGATTCCTTTAAACCATTTAGTATCGAAATCTTCAACCACACACTGAATAGGGAGAGTAGTGTAGTAAGCTGCTGTGTGCTCATGACCAAGCTTTGGGTCATTGGCATCTAATGCACCTGCCATCCTGCCTTAGACCTCTGTCAATTACAAAGTTGCCGAAAAACAAGACAACAACAAAAAGTTGTAGTATATATGTCAGCCAATAATGTAGATAATTCAGAATGTACTTTTGGGGAGTAAATGAATCCAAATCCATGAACTGTTTTCAAAGTTATACCTCTACCTGTTACTTTATCAGTGACTGTTGTAGGTTTTTGTGCAGTGGTGTGAGCGTGTCCAGGTTTCCCATTTGGGATGAAGTGTGAAAGCCTGGCTCTAGCATGTTTTCCCTTTGTGCCTCTTAGGATTGAGCAGTACTACGAAGCCATCTTGGCTCTGTGGAACCAGCTCTACATCAACATGAAGAGCCTGGTGTCCTGGCACTACTGCATGATTGACATAGAGAAGATCAGGGCCATGACAATCGCCAAGGTATGTCCTCAGGGCCACTTAGGCTGCCTGGAGGGAGGGCAGCGCTGCCCCCCGCAGTGCCTGTGTCCAACAGTTCAACCTTCTTGCTGTGTAGCAGTGCTTTTGTGTCTCGTCAAGCAAGTCAGCTCAGCCCTCCTTAGAGGTTCTGGTCTGTCCAATAGAGAACAGGAGGGATTAGCATATGGCTGATTATGAGAGAAAGAAGCAATACTAATTCAGGTGGCCTGACAAGCAAGCCAGAAGTGCCTGTGGAAAAGTCATGCACTCCTGTAAGATTCTGGACCCTATGCTCCTTTGATGTAATGGAAAGTTAGGTCATAAAGGATTAACTGGGTATCACAAAAGTAAAAGGTGGGATAGAATTCTTGGAAGAGCACCCAAAGCATTACTTACTCTAAATCAGTTGTTTTCAGATCATGGTCTGAAGAATCCTAGCAGGAGAGGGAGATCCTTTAGGAGTGACAGGGATGGAAGTGAGGAGAGGGGCACAGAAAGTACCTTTTGGGGTCCCCCGAGCCCTTTTTCTCTTTGTAGTTGGAGCAGCTTTGCTGGGCTCTGCTTTACATTTAGGGCTTCTGAATAATATTTCGTTGAAGAAAAATATTCTGTAGGCAAAAAAAAAAAAAAAAAATTAGCAACCCATTCCTGTGGCTCTTGGGAACAATGTCTAAAACCTAAAAGACCTTTTATATCTTAATGAGCCTGTGATGAGTGTTGCTTTGAGTCCCATCTAGTGGGTGGCATTTTTTGGCCAACTCTTCTTGATTGCATTGTGGGGCAGTCATAAATCCCAAATCACTTCTGCCTGTCTCCTTTCAGCTGAAAACAATGCGGCAGGAAGATTACATGAAGACGATAGCCGACCTTGAGTTACATTACCAAGAGTTCATCAGAAATAGCCAAGGCTCAGAGATGTTTGGAGATGATGACAAGCGGAAAATACAGTCTCAGTTCACCGATGCCCAGAAGCATTACCAGACCCTGGTCATTCAGCTCCCTGGCTATCCCCAGCACCAGACAGGTCGGCTTGGGACATCTTTCTCTTTGTATCAACCATCCATACCATTTTAAAAAGAAGGGAGTTTGCATAAAACTGGTTTCAGAACCATTTCTCTGAATGCTATATAGCCAGTGTTCTTCGTGCACTAAATTTTCAGAATTGATTCTGAAATTCAAAGGAAGAAGGTATACTTTTAGGTAGTATGGATGTTTTTTGAGGCCTAGCACCTTGATACCTAGGTATTCTCTGATTTTTGTGGCCCTAACTTCTTTTTACAGTGACCACAACTGAAATCACTCATCATGGAACCTGCCAAGATGTCAACCATAATAAAGTAATTGAAACCAACAGAGAAAATGACAAGCAAGAAACATGGATGCTGATGGAGCTGCAGAAGATTCGCAGGCAGATAGAGCACTGCGAGGGCAGGATGACTCTCAAAAACCTCCCTCTAGCAGACCAGGGATCTTCTCACCACATCACAGTGAAAATTAACGAGCTTAAGGTAGGTATCTGCTAGTATTTTGCCTGGTTACCCTGTATATTTTTATTTACCTGTAAATGAATAAAAAAAATCCTGGTTTAAATGTTTGTAGGCAAAAATATTAACTTTCAAGAAAACAGGCTTCTGGCAGGATTTCCTTATGTATTATGTTTCCAAATTTGTAGACGGTTATCAGGCTGGGGGTTAAACTGTTCGTTTGTGTGTTGTTGAATCAGGCTACCGTCCATCTCAAAAGTTTTCACAACCATTAATTTGGCTTCTTGCAGAGAACAACCTATGATATGGGTTAGACAGGGGGAATGATCTTTATTTGTAGACATGACACTGACATGAAGAGATTTGGTTGGTGAGATACGATCTCAAAGCCATAGACAGAGTGTGACTATGGCCCAGGTGTGTCAGCTCCTAACTCAGTGATGTTTTCTGCTCAACCAAGCCTGGGCACACTGCACTGGAAGGCCTAAATAGAGATATTCTAAGAGGATCACATTTACAGTGCTAATGAGGCCATACTCAAGAAAGAAATAGAAGGTCAACTCCTCTCTCTTCCTTGAATCCTTTACTTTTAGTGGACTTTTTAAGGGCAAAAATGATCATAAGATTCACACAGCTACAATGCAGAGTACTAACCTCTGTGTGATCAGTATGCCAAAATTGGAATGTAGTTGTGTTGCTTAATGACCGGGGCACATTCTAAGAAATGCATGGTTAGGCGATTTTGTCATGCAAGCGCCATAGAGCATACTTACACAAACCTAGATGGTATAGCCTACTATACACCTAGGCTACAAACCTGTAGGGCATGTGACTGTCCTAAATACTGTAGGCAATTGTGACACAATGGTAAGTGTGTATCTAAATATATCTAAACGTCGAAAAGATACAATAAAAATACAGTATTATAATCTTACGGGGGCTGGATGCAGGGGCACATGCCTGTAATCCCAGCTACTTGCTTGAGCTCAGGAGTTGGAGGCTGCAGGGAGCTATGATTGTACCACTGTACTCCAGTCTGGGCAACAGAGCAAGACCCTTCTCTTTAAAAAAAAATGTGTGTGTGTGTGTGTGTGTTTATATGTATGTATGTACATATGTGTGTGTGTATATATCTTAAGGGACCACCATTGTGTATACAGTTCATCATTGACCAAAACATCATTAGTAGACACATGACTATACACACACACAGTGGGGTACTATTTACCTTTAAAAAAGAAAGAGATCCTGGGGCCAGGTGCGGTGGCTCACGCCTGTAATCCCAGCACTTTGGGAGGCCGAGGCGGGTGGATCACAAGGTCAGGAGTTCAAGACCAGCATGACCAACATGGTGAAACCCCATCTCTACTAAAAAGTACAAAAATTAGCTGGGTGTGGTGGCGTGCGCCTGTAATCTCAGCTACTCAGGAGGCTGAGGCAGGAGAATCGCTTGAACCCAGGAGATGGAGGTTGCAGTGAGCTGAGATCACGCCATTGCACTCCAGCCTGGGCGACAGAGCGAGACTCTGTCTCAAAAAAAAAAAAAAGAAAGAAAGAGATCCTGCCATTTGCAAAAGCATGGATGAATGTGGGGGACATTATGCTAAGTGAAATACACCAGACACAAATACTGCTTGATTTCACTTATGTGTAAATTCTAAGAAAAAAGTTGAATGCAGGGAAACAGAGAGTAGGATGGTGATTACCGGGGTGGGGAGGGAGGAGGAAATGGGAAGATGTAAAGGATACAAACTTGCATTTGTGTGGGATGAATAAATCTAGAGATCTAAATTCAGCGCAAGACTACAGGTAGTAATCTTGTAGTGTATATTGAAATTTTGCTGAGAGTAGATTTTAGGTGCTCTTACCACACATACAAAAAAAGATAACCATGGAAGTTGACTGATGTGTTAATTTACTTACCTGATGTAATCATTTCACTGTGTCTATGTGTATTAAAACAGCATATTGTACACCTTAAATATATACAGTAATAAAAAGAATCAGCTAAATCAAAAGAGCTTTCCTTCATTTTTGACAGAGTGTGCAGAATGATTCACAAGCAATTGCTGAGGTTCTCAACCAGCTTAAAGATATGCTTGCCAACTTCAGAGGTTCTGAAAAGTACTGCTATTTACAGAATGAAGTATTTGGACTATTTCAGAAACTGGAAAATATCAATGGTGTTACAGATGGCTACTTAAATAGGTAAACTCAGCTAACACTAATCTCATATTTTCCTTTTCTCAAGCTTCTTTTTCTGGGTCTTCATTTGCTTTAGATGCTTGCCTTACAGTTTCTCTGTTACTAGAGATTTACTTACATCCTTCTGTGGTTTGGAGAGCATGTTAATTCCGCTAGCCTCGCATGTTAATTCCACTATTCTGAACTATAATGTTATCTTAGAACTAAGTTATGCTCTAAGGGCCAGAACTTGAGAATTCTTCAGCGAATACAAAATGTTGGTCTGAATCACAATAGACCAAAAAACAGACAAAATAAATTTTTATCTGCTTTGACGTTGTTCCCTTTCATTACTAGCTGTGAGAGGCAAATCTTCACAGACTAATTATGTCACTGGCAATTTTATGTGCTTCTTTTGCTCTTTCCAGCTTATGCACAGTAAGGGCACTGCTCCAGGCTATTCTCCAAACAGAAGACATGTTAAAGGTTTATGAAGCCAGGCTCACTGAGGAGGAAACTGTCTGCCTGGACCTGGATAAAGTGGAAGCTTACCGCTGTGGACTGAAGGTAACTTGAAAGCTTATAACAGTGGCCCAACTTACAGGAACTAATTCAGATCTGAGCTCCCAATTATAAAGCCTCACTGGGTTTTCATGAGTTTTGAGGATTATTGGGTTTCAGTGGCCACACAGGTTGACATCAGTTGTCATCTCTGTAACTCTGTTTTCCAGACTGTGTTAGCAGGAACTATATAAGAAAGTAATTCGTGATGGGATTAGTTTGGGGAATGCTGAGTTAAACTGGTTTCTTTACTGTGGGACTTCTTAGAAACTTTAATATGTTCATATTATTATTATAACAGGATAGCACAAAGAACAAGATTATTGGAACAAATACTGGGAAATGCAATTCAGTAAATATATTTCCCTGGATTGACTGTTAACACTTTAAATTATGAATATTCTAAAGTGTTTTATAAACTTTGCCGCCCAATTTGGTGACTTGTAGTGTAGCATACAATGGGAGAAGGGATTAATTTGCAATCTTTTTTTTTTTCATCTTGCAGAAAATAAAAAATGACTTGAACTTGAAGAAGTCGTTGTTGGCCACTATGAAGACAGAACTACAGAAAGCCCAGCAGATCCACTCTCAGACTTCACAGCAGTATCCACTTTATGATCTGGACTTGGGCAAGTTCGGTGAAAAAGTCACACAGCTGACAGACCGCTGGCAAAGGATAGATAAACAGATCGACTTTAGGTATGCCAGCCTCCTCCCGCTCCTTCCCCATCTTCTCCCCTTTTGGTTGTTCACAAGATAATGTCACTTGAAGGGAACCACTGAAGAAAACAGAGGTTTTGTTTTTTGTGTAAGTTAGGCGTAACAGATGCTCTTTTCATGGACTGCCTGTATGCAGCTTTGTTAGAAATGGAAGGAGAATGCATCACGATAGCCAACCCTGTGCAGGCCAGGTGCCATCCAGGGTCTTAGAGAAACGGCAGAAGCCCTTTAGCCAGCTCTTTTGTGTCCTATAAACTCTTGTTATGACTCTTGGAAGGAGTAGCTGCCTTGAGTTAGCATTCTCCAAAAGTTTATGAAAATTAAATCTTAGACCAAAAAAAATGCCTTTCTGCAAATAAGAGTTTAAAAAATCTCTGGAATATGAATCTGCCTATTCTGGAAATTTTATATGACTGGAATCATACAATATGTAGTCCATTGTGACTGGCTTCTTTCACTTAGTATCGTGCTTTCAGAGTTCATCTGTGTTGTATCATGTTTCAGTACATCATTTTCTATTTTTTTCATGTGTTTTTATGATTGAATAATATTCCATTGTTTGGCAGTGCCACATTTTGTTGATCTTTTCATCAGTTGATACCTGAGTTGTTTCCAGTTTTTGGCTGTGATAAAAAGTGCTGCTATGAACATTCATGTATAAGTTTTTATGTGGGAATATGATCAGTTTTCTTGGGTATATATCAAGTGAATTTCTGGGTGATTCTATGTTACATATTTTAGGAACTAATAAGATAATGATTTTATTGTATCTATTTCCCCCCAGGTTATGGGACCTGGAGAAACAAATCAAGCAATTGAGGAATTATCGTGATAACTATCAGGCTTTCTGCAAGTGGCTCTATGATGCTAAACGCCGCCAGGATTCCTTAGAATCCATGAAATTTGGAGATTCCAACACAGTCATGCGGTTTTTGAATGAGCAGAAGGTATAAGCCAACTTTTTGTTCCATAGCTGTTTTGAGATTAATTGGGTGTAATTCATGTTTTCCTCTGGTTTTTGTATCAGTGCCTAGGTTTGAAATGATGAATATTTAATATTACTAACCCATTTTGTGAAGGCTTAAAGAATGCCCAGAGGAAAAGCAACTGAGATGTTTACAAGGAAATGCAAATTATGAACATAGAAATAACGTGATATTGTTCTCTTCATGTTATCATAAATTATCTTTATAAATTGAGGGGATAGGCCCAGAAAACAGGCTGACTAGAAAGTAACCTCTTACAGATAGTAAGTTAAAGGGCTTGCTTCTCTTCTCTGAATGGAAAAAATGCTCATCTCCTAAGCTGTAACTATAAAAATATGAGACAAGTACATGTAGTAATAAACTGAAAAAAGGGTACAAATAACAGTGGTAAAAGAGTGAAATCACATTTATTTAAAAATATTTGTATGCATTAACATTGGTAAATATTTCACTTTTTGTATAGAACTTGCACAGTGAAATATCTGGCAAACGAGACAAATCAGAGGAAGTACAAAAAATTGCTGAACTTTGCGCCAATTCAATTAAGGTATGTTGGTTTCATAAAGAATGTTGGTATTTCACCAAGATTATTATTAACTGCATGACTTGCTGATTTGTTGTAAAGCGTATACACTTCCTGAGGATAGCAATTACGGTCTGTATATATTCTTTTCTGAACAAACCATAAAAATTAAAAATCTATTAGCTTGAATTCATTCCACATTGGCAGTATCCATTTGAATGGCTGGTTTCTATTCTTTGACTGGTGGTAGGTGCTGCATTCTCCATTTAGCATACAAAGATGTACTGCTTGGTTTAATAATGGTGTTTGTTTGTTTGTTTGTTTGTTTGGAGAGAGTTTCGCTCTTGCTGCCCAGGCTGGAGTGCAGTGGTGTGATCTCGGCTCACCGCAACCTCTGCCTCCTGGGTTCAAGTGATTCTCCCGCCTCAGCTTCCTGAGTAGCTGGGATTACAGGCATGCACCACCATGCCCGGCTAATTTTATATTTTTAGTAGAGACAGGGTTTCTCCGTGTTGGTCAGGCTGGTTTTGAACTCCCGATCTCAGGGGATCTGCCCGGCTCGGCCTCCCAAAGTGCCAGGATTATGGGTGTGAGCCACCACGCTAATGTAGTATTAGTTGCTTGGCCACTAGTGGCGCAAAGTCTTTGGAGTGGGCAATTAGACGTGCAGCCCAATGATTTAAAACTGTGGAACTGTAGCTGTTAGTGATGCTTTTTAAGTCTATGAAGGACACTTTTCTTAAACTTCATTATGCTGCAGGATTATGAGCTCCAGCTGGCCTCATACACCTCAGGACTGGAAACTCTGCTGAACATACCTATCAAGAGGACCATGATTCAGTCCCCTTCTGGGGTGATTCTGCAAGAGGTATATATGTCATCACATATCTCTTAAAACCTGCCCCTCCTTCTGCTTCTTCCCTTTTCCCTGTCTCCTGCCTCTTCCCTTTTCCCTGTCTCCTGCCTGTCTTCCTTACCATTGCTGATTTCATCCCATTACAGGGTACCACTTTAAGAGGTTTAATAGCAGGTTATGTGCCCTCCAGTGTGAGTCATTGATGTATGATACATTTTCAGAAATGATCAGGAATGTGTTATTTAGAGTCTTTGTAGAAATTGGGCTTAAATTTCTGGGTTTGATGAGAGAGACTTCTAAAAAGTGGAAAATACAGAAATTTCTAAAAGACAGCCTCTTCTCAAAGATGTCAGAGACTATCGTACCTGTCAGATGGTTTAGGGGAAACAGCCTGGAGAGATGAGAATGGGATACATTTTTGGCCCTTTGTTTTGCTGTACTTTCTTTTGCTGATTTTGGAATGAACACACTAAAGAAGAGAATTCACTCTTTATAATTTCACTATTTTAGAAAACAAAATCGGTCAAATTACATAGGACTTTTTTTTTAATGCAATATCTTTTTCTTTCTTTCCTTCCTTTTCTCCAAGGCTGCAGATGTTCATGCTCGGTACATTGAACTACTTACAAGATCTGGAGACTATTACAGGTTCTTAAGTGAGATGCTGAAGAGTTTGGAAGATCTGAAGGTAATTTATACTGTCTTTTCTTGTAGCGTCAAAAAAGAAAATAGAATAGAACCTTATTATTACTTCCACATTATAACATGGATTTGGACACATCCTGGTGAAACTGTATTTCCTCTAAAGGTTTAGTGTAATACTGCTTGTTTGTAAGTCTGGGGTTACTTCCATGCTCCAATACGCTGCTTTAAATGAACTTAAGTAATAGTCATAATATTGCAACAACTTTGCCAAACAAAAGTCACTTGATTTAATGTTTGGTTAAGGAATTTGCTTTATTTCTCTGTGTTAAAGATAACATCTTGGACTAGGTATATTTGAATTTTTTATATTCAGTGATTGTTCCCTTTATTCCTCATTTATGATACTTAAATTGAGATTATATGTAAACTTATTTTAATGTAAACTTGAAATAAAGGGAATATAATTTATGAAATCATAAGCTTTTGATTTTGAAAGAAATTACCTCATTTTACAGATGAGGTAGCTCAGACTCAAAGATAATATATCATTTGCTAAGAGCATATGAGCAGCTGGTGCAAGAATTATGATGAGAATCCAGATTTCTTGAATATTTGCCTAGTCACTCTTTGCATGTATGTCCATGTGTGTAAAGAGAAATAAGAATGCACATTGGTCTGGGAGGGGAAAAGTACTGCTTCTTTCTTGGAATGTGAGGTGTTTTTCTTTTGACATAATCTCTGATTTCATTCCACAGCTGAAAAATACCAAGATCGAAGTTTTGGAAGAGGAGCTCAGACTGGCCCGAGATGCCAACTCGGAAAACTGTAATAAGAACAAATTCCTGGATCAGAACCTGCAGAAATACCAGGCAGAGTGTTCCCAGTTCAAAGCGAAGCTTGCGAGCCTGGAGGAGCTGAAGAGACAGGCTGAGCTGGATGGGAAGTCGGCTAAGCAAAATCTAGACAAGTGCTACGGCCAAATAAAAGAACTCAATGAGAAGATCACCCGACTGACTTATGAGATTGAAGATGAAAAGAGAAGAAGAAAATCTGTGGAAGACAGATTTGACCAACAGAAGAATGACTATGACCAACTGCAGAAAGCAAGGCAATGTGAAAAGGAGAACCTTGGTTGGCAGAAATTAGAGTCTGAGAAAGCCATCAAGGAGAAGGAGTACGAGATTGAAAGGTTGAGGGTTCTACTGCAGGAAGAAGGCACCCGGAAGAGAGAATATGAAAATGAGCTGGCAAAGGTAAGAAACCACTATAATGAGGAGATGAGTAATTTAAGGAACAAGTATGAAACAGAGATTAACATTACGAAGACCACCATCAAGGAGATATCCATGCAAAAAGAGGATGATTCCAAAAATCTTAGAAACCAGCTTGATAGACTTTCAAGGGAAAATCGAGATCTGAAGGATGAAATTGTCAGGCTCAATGACAGCATCTTGCAGGCCACTGAGCAGCGAAGGCGAGCTGAAGAAAACGCCCTTCAGCAAAAGGCCTGTGGCTCTGAGATAATGCAGAAGAAGCAGCATCTGGAGATAGAACTGAAGCAGGTCATGCAGCAGCGCTCTGAGGACAATGCCCGGCACAAGCAGTCCCTGGAGGAGGCTGCCAAGACCATTCAGGACAAAAATAAGGAGATCGAGAGACTCAAAGCTGAGTTTCAGGAGGAGGCCAAGCGCCGCTGGGAATATGAAAATGAACTGAGTAAGGTAAGAAACAATTATGATGAGGAGATCATTAGCTTAAAAAATCAGTTTGAGACCGAGATCAACATCACCAAGACCACCATCCACCAGCTCACCATGCAGAAGGAAGAGGATACCAGTGGCTACCGGGCTCAGATAGACAATCTCACCCGAGAAAACAGGAGCTTATCTGAAGAAATAAAGAGGCTGAAGAACACTCTAACCCAGACCACAGAGAATCTCAGGAGGGTGGAAGAAGACATCCAACAGCAAAAGGCCACTGGCTCTGAGGTGTCTCAGAGGAAACAGCAGCTGGAGGTTGAGCTGAGACAAGTCACTCAGATGCGAACAGAGGAGAGCGTAAGATATAAGCAATCTCTTGATGATGCTGCCAAAACCATCCAGGATAAAAACAAGGAGATAGAAAGGTTAAAACAACTGATCGACAAAGAAACAAATGACCGGAAATGCCTGGAAGATGAAAACGCGAGATTACAAAGGGTCCAGTATGACCTGCAGAAAGCAAACAGTAGTGCGACGGAGACAATAAACAAACTGAAGGTTCAGGAGCAAGAACTGACACGCCTGAGGATCGACTATGAAAGGGTTTCCCAGGAGAGGACTGTGAAGGACCAGGATATCACGCGGTTCCAGAACTCTCTGAAAGAGCTGCAGCTGCAGAAGCAGAAGGTGGAAGAGGAGCTGAATCGGCTGAAGAGGACCGCGTCAGAAGACTCCTGCAAGAGGAAGAAGCTGGAGGAAGAGCTGGAAGGCATGAGGAGGTCGCTGAAGGAGCAAGCCATCAAAATCACCAACCTGACCCAGCAGCTGGAGCAGGCATCCATTGTTAAGAAGAGGAGTGAGGATGACCTCCGGCAGCAGAGGGACGTGCTGGATGGCCACCTGAGGGAAAAGCAGAGGACCCAGGAAGAGCTGAGGAGGCTCTCTTCTGAGGTCGAGGCCCTGAGGCGGCAGTTACTCCAGGAACAGGAAAGTGTCAAACAAGCTCACTTGAGGAATGAGCATTTCCAGAAGGCGATAGAAGATAAAAGCAGAAGCTTAAATGAAAGCAAAATAGAAATTGAGAGGCTGCAGTCTCTCACAGAGAACCTGACCAAGGAGCACTTGATGTTAGAAGAAGAACTGCGGAACCTGAGGCTGGAGTACGATGACCTGAGGAGAGGACGAAGCGAAGCGGACAGTGATAAAAATGCAACCATCTTGGAACTAAGGAGCCAGCTGCAGATCAGCAACAACCGGACCCTGGAACTGCAGGGGCTGATTAATGATTTACAGAGAGAGAGGGAAAATTTGAGACAGGAAATTGAGAAATTCCAAAAGCAGGCTTTAGAGGTATTCACAAATACTTGATCACAGCTTCACTGTTTCTCAAATTATTCATCACATTATTATCTCATCTGAACTGTGCTCTTTCTGCTTAAATAGATGCTTATAGAAAATCTAATTTTTCTTTTTATTGCTCTACTACTTCCTGTCATAATCCAGGTAACTGCTTTAAAATAATTTCAATGCTGTGTGCCCTGCTGTTCTTTAATTGCATCAAATGCTGATCTCTGGGTAGCCTGTGTTTGGCCCTGCTTTTAAGAACACTAATACATGTATAACTTCCTCCGAATGTTCCATTCTACTTCTTAGAAGTTAGCTCTTATTTAGTGAGCTATGACATACATTTGTAATGAAAATTTTCTTAAATAGAAGCCATACTAAAGTGTTTCCCTATGCAATTTTTAAAACACTTTTTCTTTTGCCTGCTTAGATGATTTTTTTGCATGGATTATTTAGTGTTCGCTTTTGATCATGGCCCTAGTGTGTTTCCTTTTGTTTGACTTTCCTTCTCCTAACCCTTAATTTAAAAATAACTTATTTAACTTCTACAGACAATATTTGTGTGTGGCTGGGTTGGTGTGTGTGTGTGTGTGTGTGTGTGTGTATATCTATATATTATATATATAATTATATAATTACATAATATATATTTATCTATAATATATATTTTATATAATATATATCTTCATATATTTGTATTGCTTCATTAAGTATGTTCATCTAGCTGTAACAGGTGAGATGTAGGTGTAGCAGGTATGATAACCTGAAACAAAACTCCCCACATTTTTTCAAAGCATAATTATTGTTAAGAGTAAGACAGGTCTGCAACTTACAGTTCCTTCTATAGAAAAAAATAGTAAGTATGAAGCCATTTATTGAAGTGGCAACATATACAGAATTTTTCCCACAAATTTGTAAAATAACAAGCTCACAGTGTATCCAGGGACAATATAGAAAGAAAAAATAAGCAAGGCTTTTTTTTTTAAAGATAGATACACAAAAGAAAGTTAAGTCGTGATAGTAATATGATATGATTCAAAACATTATTTTTTCCCATTTCTTTCTTCTTCAATTCCAGGCATCTAATAGGATTCAGGAATCAAAGAATCAGTGTACTCAGGTGGTACAGGAAAGAGAGAGCCTTCTGGTGAAAATCAAAGTCCTGGAGCAAGACAAGGCAAGGCTGCAGAGGCTGGAGGATGAGCTGAATCGTGCAAAATCAACTCTAGAGGCAGAAACCAGGGTGAAACAGCGCCTGGAGTGTGAGAAACAGCAAATTCAGAATGACCTGAATCAGTGGAAGACTCAATATTCCCGCAAGGAGGAGGCTATTAGGAAGATAGAATCGGAAAGAGAAAAGAGTGAGAGAGAGAAGAACAGTCTTAGGAGTGAGATCGAAAGACTCCAAGCAGAGATCAAGAGAATTGAAGAGAGGTGCAGGCGTAAGCTGGAGGATTCTACCAGGGAGACACAGTCACAGTTAGAAACAGAACGCTCCCGATATCAGAGGGAGATTGATAAACTCAGACAGCGCCCATATGGGTCCCATCGAGAGACCCAGACTGAGTGTGAGTGGACCGTTGACACCTCCAAGCTGGTGTTTGATGGGCTGAGGAAGAAGGTGACAGCAATGCAGCTCTATGAGTGTCAGCTGATCGACAAAACAACCTTGGACAAACTATTGAAGGGGAAGAAGTCAGTGGAAGAAGTTGCTTCTGAAATCCAGCCATTCCTTCGGGGTGCAGGATCTATCGCTGGAGCATCTGCTTCTCCTAAGGAAAAATACTCTTTGGTAGAGGCCAAGAGAAAGAAATTAATCAGCCCAGAATCCACAGTCATGCTTCTGGAGGCCCAGGCAGCTACAGGTGGTATAATTGATCCCCATCGGAATGAGAAGCTGACTGTCGACAGTGCCATAGCTCGGGACCTCATTGACTTCGATGACCGTCAGCAGATATATGCAGCAGAAAAAGCTATCACTGGTTTTGATGATCCATTTTCAGGCAAGACAGTATCTGTTTCAGAAGCCATCAAGAAAAATTTGATTGATAGAGAAACCGGAATGCGCCTGCTGGAAGCCCAGATTGCTTCAGGGGGTGTAGTAGACCCTGTGAACAGTGTCTTTTTGCCAAAAGATGTCGCCTTGGCCCGGGGGCTGATTGATAGAGATTTGTATCGATCCCTGAATGATCCCCGAGATAGTCAGAAAAACTTTGTGGATCCAGTCACCAAAAAGAAGGTCAGTTACGTGCAGCTGAAGGAACGGTGCAGAATCGAACCACATACTGGTCTGCTCTTGCTTTCAGTACAGAAGAGAAGCATGTCCTTCCAAGGAATCAGACAACCTGTGACCGTCACTGAGCTAGTAGATTCTGGTATATTGAGACCGTCCACTGTCAATGAACTGGAATCTGGTCAGATTTCTTATGACGAGGTTGGTGAGAGAATTAAGGACTTCCTCCAGGGTTCAAGCTGCATAGCAGGCATATACAATGAGACCACAAAACAGAAGCTTGGCATTTATGAGGCCATGAAAATTGGCTTAGTCCGACCTGGTACTGCTCTGGAGTTGCTGGAAGCCCAAGCAGCTACTGGCTTTATAGTGGATCCTGTTAGCAACTTGAGGTTACCAGTGGAGGAAGCCTACAAGAGAGGTCTGGTGGGCATTGAGTTCAAAGAGAAGCTCCTGTCTGCAGAACGAGCTGTCACTGGGTATAATGATCCTGAAACAGGAAACATCATCTCTTTGTTCCAAGCCATGAATAAGGAACTCATCGAAAAGGGCCACGGTATTCGCTTATTAGAAGCACAGATCGCAACCGGGGGGATCATTGACCCAAAGGAGAGCCATCGTTTACCAGTTGACATAGCATATAAGAGGGGCTATTTCAATGAGGAACTCAGTGAGATTCTCTCAGATCCAAGTGATGATACCAAAGGATTTTTTGACCCCAACACTGAAGAAAATCTTACCTATCTGCAACTAAAAGAAAGATGCATTAAGGATGAGGAAACAGGGCTCTGTCTTCTGCCTCTGAAAGAAAAGAAGAAACAGGTGCAGACATCACAAAAGAATACCCTCAGGAAGCGTAGAGTGGTCATAGTTGACCCAGAAACCAATAAAGAAATGTCTGTTCAGGAGGCCTACAAGAAGGGCCTAATTGATTATGAAACCTTCAAAGAACTGTGTGAGCAGGAATGTGAATGGGAAGAAATAACCATCACGGGATCAGATGGCTCCACCAGGGTGGTCCTGGTAGATAGAAAGACAGGCAGTCAGTATGATATTCAAGATGCTATTGACAAGGGCCTTGTTGACAGGAAGTTCTTTGATCAGTACCGATCCGGCAGCCTCAGCCTCACTCAATTTGCTGACATGATCTCCTTGAAAAATGGTGTCGGCACCAGCAGCAGCATGGGCAGTGGTGTCAGCGATGATGTTTTTAGCAGCTCCCGACATGAATCAGTAAGTAAGATTTCCACCATATCCAGCGTCAGGAATTTAACCATAAGGAGCAGCTCTTTTTCAGACACCCTGGAAGAATCGAGCCCCATTGCAGCCATCTTTGACACAGAAAACCTGGAGAAAATCTCCATTACAGAAGGTATAGAGCGGGGCATCGTTGACAGCATCACGGGTCAGAGGCTTCTGGAGGCTCAGGCCTGCACAGGTGGCATCATCCACCCAACCACGGGCCAGAAGCTGTCACTTCAGGACGCAGTCTCCCAGGGTGTGATTGACCAAGACATGGCCACCAGGCTGAAGCCTGCTCAGAAAGCCTTCATAGGCTTCGAGGGTGTGAAGGGAAAGAAGAAGATGTCAGCAGCAGAGGCAGTGAAAGAAAAATGGCTCCCGTATGAGGCTGGCCAGCGCTTCCTGGAGTTCCAGTACCTCACGGGAGGTCTTGTTGACCCGGAAGTGCATGGGAGGATAAGCACCGAAGAAGCCATCCGGAAGGGGTTCATAGATGGCCGCGCCGCACAGAGGCTGCAAGACACCAGCAGCTATGCCAAAATCCTGACCTGCCCCAAAACCAAATTAAAAATATCCTATAAGGATGCCATAAATCGCTCCATGGTAGAAGATATCACTGGGCTGCGCCTTCTGGAAGCCGCCTCCGTGTCGTCCAAGGGCTTACCCAGCCCTTACAACATGTCTTCGGCTCCGGGGTCCCGCTCCGGCTCCCGCTCGGGATCTCGCTCCGGATCTCGCTCCGGGTCCCGCAGTGGGTCCCGGAGAGGAAGCTTTGACGCCACAGGGAATTCTTCCTACTCTTATTCCTACTCATTTAGCAGTAGTTCTATTGGGCACTAGTAGTCAGTTGGGAGTGGTTGCTATACCTTGACTTCATTTATATGAATTTCCACTTTATTAAATAATAGAAAAGAAAATCCCGGTGCTTGCAGTAGAGTGATAGGACATTCTATGCTTACAGAAAATATAGCCATGATTGAAATCAAATAGTAAAGGCTGTTCTGGCTTTTTATCTTCTTAGCTCATCTTAAATAAGCAGTACACTTGGATGCAGTGCGTCTGAAGTGCTAATCAGTTGTAACAATAGCACAAATCGAACTTAGGATTTGTTTCTTCTCTTCTGTGTTTCGATTTTTGATCAATTCTTTAATTTTGGAAGCCTATAATACAGTTTTCTATTCTTGGAGATAAAAATTAAATGGATCACTGATATTTTAGTCATTCTGCTTCTCATCTAAATATTTCCATATTCTGTATTAGGAGAAAATTACCCTCCCAGCACCAGCCCCCCTCTCAAACCCCCAACCCAAAACCAAGCATTTTGGAATGAGTCTCCTTTAGTTTCAGAGTGTGGATTGTATAACCCATATACTCTTCGATGTACTTGTTTGGTTTGGTATTAATTTGACTGTGCATGACAGCGGCAATCTTTTCTTTGGTCAAAGTTTTCTGTTTATTTTGCTTGTCATATTCGATGTACTTTAAGGTGTCTTTATGAAGTTTGCTATTCTGGCAATAAACTTTTAGACTTTTGAAGTGTTTGTGTTTTAATTTAATATGTTTATAAGCATGTATAAACATTTAGCATATTTTTATCATAGGTCTAAAAATATTTGTTTACTAAATACCTGTGAAGAAATACCATTAAAAAACTATTTGGTTCTGAATTCTTACTAGAAGGTGGTCTTTTGAAGTTAGTCCTTTCGGTACTTCTCAGATGCCTGTCATGTACCCGATGGAGTCCTTGGAAAGAAGGCCTGTGTAAAGAGGCCAGCCTGGAGGTCAATAACCTGTTCTAGTTTATTCTGGACATTGAGTACCAAGTAGCATTGGCAAAAGTCATCATCATAGCATTGAAAAAACATGAAGTTGCTAAGATGCTTTTTGGGTATCCTCAAAATAGATAGTGTTTCACTTTGTCCCGTAAGAGGAAAGAATTGTCCTGGAACCCATGAAAATGATTTCTGAAGAGTTCTTGGCTCTCTGTTGAAGGACAAGGAAGTATAAGCCTATTCCTTTGGATCAAAGAGAAACTACTGAAATTCACACATTTGTCATTAGATTAACATGACTTCACTGAATACCCACCATGTCTAGTATTGGGTTAGGTACTATGAAGACTGAGTAGAATTTACAAGCCCCCGACAACAAAGCATTGGCAATATGGGTGGGGACAGAAACAGATAAAGCAATCAGTGGGACAACTTTCAAATGTCAGCAGTATATATTAATACAAATTTTATAGTACAGATAGAAAATAGGAAAACATGCTAATTGTATAGAACAAAAATCAAGATTAGATTAATTATTGGGGGCTTTTGGTACTTAGGGTGAAAGTCACCTCCATTCTCATTGCATGGGCTATTTTTCCTCCACAGCACTCTTTTCTTCCTTATTTCACCTCTTCTTCCTTACTCCCTCTCCTAATTTGGAGGAGTTGAAATTAATTTTATGCATTAAATACTGAGTTCGCGTGCCATGCATTGTGCCAGAAGCCATGGAGTCTGTGCTAGAAATACATGGTGAAAAAGAGCCCTCATAATCCAAAAGGAAGAAGAAAATGTGGTAAATGCTGTATTGGGAAAAATGAAGGAAATTCCTTATGCTAGAGCTGGGAGACTATATTAGTCACCTCACCCTGCCATAACAAGATGCCACAGACTGTGAGCGGCTTAAACGGAAGTGTATTTTCTCACAGTTCTGGAAGCTAAAAGTACAAGCTCAAGATGCAGGCAGGGCTGGTTTCTAGTGAAACCTGGCTCATGGGTGGCTATCAGTCTTATCTGATTAGAGTACCCACCCCTCCTTTATGACCTCATTTAACTTTAATTACCTCTTAGGGCTCTATCTCCTTATACAGTCACATTGTGGGTTGGTACTTCAACATAGGCATTTTTGAGGGACTCAATCCAATCCATAACAGAGGCCTAGCCTAGAACAGGAGTCTGGAGACCACTCCAGGAAAGTGATATCAAAACAGATCAGCAGCATCAGTGTAGAGCAGTTCCTCGGGCTGAAACAGTAACTAGAGAGTACAGTCAATTGACAAATCTTTCCTACTCCCTCCAGGCTTGTGCCAATGTTGTCATGAAGCTCTGAGATGACATGGGGCTGTATCCTGAAGAGAGGATATGTTTGACGTGGGCTAAGTTTTAATTTGGTTCACATATACAAACAGGGAAATATACACTAGAACTTTTTATCAGGAGTCATGTCACATCAGAAATAGTCTCACATTTTTCCAGACCAACCAGCTAACTATGGAAATGCAAATAAAAAGTAAGGATACCGGGCTGGGCGCGGTGGCTCACGTCTGTAATCCCAGCACTTTGGGAGGCTGAGGCGAGCAGATCACAAGGTCAGGAGTTCGAGACCAGCCTGGCCAATATGGTGAAACCCCATCTCTATTAAAAATAGAAAAATTAGCAGGGTGTGGTGGCATGTGCCTGTAGTCCCAGCTACTCGGGAGGCTGTGGCAGAAGAATTGCTTGAACCCGGGAGATGGAGGTTGCAGTGAGCTGAGATTGCGCCACTGCACTCCAGCCTGGGTGGCAGAGCCAGACTCCGTCTCAAAAAAAAAAAAAAAAAGATACTGTAGGCAGAGTATGAATACATTAACTTCATACTCCTCTCTTACCAGCTTCTAGCCACTTCTGTATTTTATGGTGCTGCCTATTTATAGTCTTATGACTATTTTTTTAAGTGAGAACCGTGCTATTTGCCTTTAGAAATAATTGTTCACCAAAAAATTCCCCCACAGTTCCTTCACATGGGTAAACAAAGTGCAAAAGGAAACCAAGGTTTGACACTTGGGCTTGAAAAAATTTTAAAAAGTAATATAAAATGGGTTAGATTCTAGGAGTTGAAACCATTTGGGGAAACTACAAGGGCTAATTCCAGGTGTTGGGTAGGAAATGTACAAAGTTAAGCTTGTGTTATCAAAGCAAGAAAGCATTCAAGGACTAATAGGGATACATGAAAGACACAGATGGCTTAATGTGGCTTCCACTGGCCACATTTGGGACAATTTGAGCATCAACAAGAATTATGATGTTAAAGGAGTATATTATATTGAATTAAAAAAAAACCTTAAATCAATAACTTTAAAAACACCTTGATTCCCATAGTGAAGCAAACACTAAAATGGAGGTGTGGAAAGAATGCCAGTTAATAAACATAAAAGGCATGATACTATTGCGGAATCACTTATAACTCCTAATGTAACAACAGATTCAGTGAAGGACTGTATCAAGGAGTTGGGGAACAGGTTATTCTTATGGACTCAAGGTATAATCCACAGATTGCTTACCAATTCCTAAGAGGAAAATGTACTATTAGAATGAAGAGATGTAGCCACCACCTTTACCAAGTGATCAAATTTAGCATTACTAATATAACTGAGTTATGCGTCCCCGTGAGTTGGCAACATCTCTTAGGTAGTATTGCAAAAGTGCTCAAACTGAATCTAATCATGAGGGAAACAAAATCTGACAAATCCAGAATGAGAGAGATTCTACAAGACAACTGGCCTAGGCTCATCACAACATGTAATGATTTAATAATTTAAAAAGGAGGGTGAAGGAGGCTGATCTGGATTAAAAGAGACAATAACTAATTATAGCTTATGAGTTGAAAAAATAAAACTGCTATAGAAATAATTTTGGGGACAATGGGGAAATTTGAATATGAACTGTATAATAAATGATTTTATGGACTTACTAATTTTCTTAGGTTTGATCATGTATTGCGGTTACACAGGAAAATGTTCTTATTCTTAGAACATGCATGCTAACATATTTGGGGGTGAAAAATCTGCAACTTACTTTCAAAGAATTCAGCAAAAATCATTGGGTGGGGCTGTGAATGTGGAGAGAAGAGACGGAGAGAAATCAAACCTGGCAAAATGTTAACAATGAGCTGAAGGACGGCTAAACGAAAGCTCATTGTACTATTTTTAAAACTTTTCTGTAGCTATAAGCCGTTTTTTCTGAGGAAGTCGAGGAGGGCGAATATCTTTCTGGAAAGGCCAGAGCAAATGCACGCAAGAGCTGAGAAAAGATTGGAAAACGCCTCTCAAAATAACAGTCCCGCCCTTCCCGGGACTCTTCCCTATAGGCTGTTCAAGTCACGTGGCGACTGTGGCCCCGCCCACAGCTCCCAGAGGCCTGCGCGTGCGGTCTGCAGTTCGGCCGCTTCCTCTTGGCGGGTGGGCTGCAGCTATGGAGGGCGAGCCTCCACCTGTGGAGGAGCGGCGGCGGCTGCAGGAGGAGCTGAACGAGTTCGTGGAGAGCGGCTGCCGGACGTTGGAGGAGGTGACCGCGTCCCTGGGCTGGGACCTAGATAGTCTGGATCCCGGGGAAGAGGAGGCGGCGGAGGTGAGGAGCGCGGCCGCGGGGCCCTTTCGGGGACTATCGGCCCGGGGTCTTCTCTGGAAGAAGGGAGATCCGCACTGGCAGCCGCGGAGGGAAGGGCGAGGAGTCCTCGTCCGTGTGCAGAGCCGCGATGGGCGCCTGGGACCCGAGGGGCGCCGGGGGCCCTGGAGCAACCCTGACGTCCCTGGGTTCCGGGCTGGGGCGCGCGAGGAACTCCCGAAGGCTCCACATCGACCTCCAGTGCGGCGCTCCTCCCGCGCAACTTCGAGTTTAAAGAAAACCGGGGGCCGGGCGCGGTGGCGCACGCCTGTAATCCTAGCACTTTGAGAGGCCAAGGCGGGAGGATCCCTTGAGCCCAGGAGTTCCAGACTAGCCTGGGCAACATGGTGAAACCTCTTCTCTACCAAAAGTACAAAAATTAGCCGGGTGTGGTGGTGTGAGCCTGTGGCCCCAGCTATTTGGGAGGCTGGGGTGGAAGGATAGCTTGAGCCCAGGAGGTCGAGGCTGCAGTGAGCCGAGATCGCTCCACTGCATTCCAGCCTGGGCGACAGAGCAAGACCCTGTCTCAAAAAACAAACAAACAAAATCCAGGAAGGTGTGTTGAGTGAGGAGGGAATGGCAGATTTGGTATTTATTTAGAAAATAAGTGAACGTGTCTCAGAGCGCTGCAGAGGGATTGGCGGTTTGCATTGTCATCTGTCATACGGATTCCGCAGTTGCACCAGATTCGGTGTCAGGAGAGCTGGGAGTTTGCCAGTTCGCCTTTCTGTGCCTTAAAATTGGACACTTCTGACTGGGACAGCACCAATTCTAGGATTATTAAAGGTTGTCACCAAGAGGTGGTAACTGGCAACTCCTGTGGACATTAGAATTGCTTTTTTAAAAATGTAGGCAAGTGTATTTAGAGTGAACATTCGTGATTTTTGTTTTTTTGTGGGGTATTTTCGGTGGAATGAGAGGAAGGGAAGTGCTCCAATGTGGGGTAATTCATTATCTTTACTATTACTTCTGGGTTTACCATGCTGTGATAATTTCTCCTGGGTTTAAGTTACATGACTGATTCCTCAGAGGCATTTAAAATATATTTGATTTCTGTATATACCATTCATTGTTTATTGTATTAAAAGCACAGAGGAAATTAAAAAATCTTTAATATTCATTTAGAGGGGTATTTGAAGCTGGGAATTCCACTGAGTGGGGCTTACCAGACCCTTCCATACATTGTTTACTCAGCATTGCGGTAACATTGGATTCCTTGTATTAACGTTTAAATAGCACTTTGTTTGCCACTTACATTACTTCATTTAATACTCAAAATAACCCTATGAGGTAGGTATCTTTGGCCACATTTTATAGACGAGGAAAGGAACACAGAAGTGATAATTTGTCGAAGGATACACTGCTAGTAAATGGCAGTTAGGATTTCCGCCGGTGTTTTAGTACTGAAATTTAGTGAACAACAGTCCTAGTTGTCATCTGTTCCTAGTTGTCACCTAGTTCCTAGTCCTCACAGAGCTAGTCCTAGTTGTCACCTAGTTCCTAGTCCTAGTTGTCACCTAGTTCCTAGTCCTCACAGAGCTTATTGTCTGGTGGTGATGAGGGGTAATACGGATAACTGAACCATTATATTATCATGGGTCTGTGATGGGTGGGGTTGGAATTGCTATAGTACAGTTTATTGTAGGCGGTGGTGGACAAAGTGGTGGTCAGCAAAGGCTTCCTGGACAAAGTGAATTCTAAGCTGATAAATAAAAGTGAGTTGAATTGGCTAGGGGGTTGGCGGGTGCGGGGAAGAAGCATCAACAGCATGTGTAGAAGTTCAGAGACAGGGAGTGACCAGATCGGGAAGCCTCAAGTAGTTAAGGATAGCTAGAGCATAGAGTGTAGAGTTAGAGTAGAATGGTGATGGTGGGTAGAGGTCAGATCTTAAAGGTCCTTGTCAGCCATATTAGAAAGTCTAGATTTTTTTTTTTTTTTTTAATGAAGGCAGTGGGGAGGTATGGAATTATTTTAAGCCAGGGCATATTATAATCACATTTACCTTTTAATAAAATAATAGCATACATTTATTGAATGCTTGCTATGTACCAGGCCCTATTTGAATTCCTTTATGTGTATAAACTTTGGTATACTTTTTTAAATCTTCACAATCACTTTGTGAGAGAGGTCCTGCTATTATTTTTATTTTATATAATAGAAAATGAGGCAAAGAGAGATTAAGTACCTCACCCAGTTTCATGCAGCCAGTAAGTGGCAGAGATGGAATTCAAACCAGCTACAGGATGGAAACTGAAGGGGAGGGCAGCAAGACTGGAAGCAGAGAGAGAGAGCAAGAGTGAGAGAGAGCGAGCGAGCGTAGTCAGGAGATGGTGTTGTATTCCAGGAGAGAGTTGATGATACCCTGAGTTGGGGAAGTGGCAGTGGGGATGGAGGATGTTGAGGGATTTTCAGAAATATTTAGGAGTTAAATTGGCAGGACTAGGTGATTGATTGGACGTGGGTGATGAGGGAGAAGTAGTTTCTTGCTTGAGCAAGGGGGACCTTTCACTGAAATAGAAAAGTACAAAAGGAATAGATTTGAGGGTTGGGAGATGATGAATATAATTAATTTATTTTTGTTTGTGTTGAACTTTTAGTGTCTTTAATATACGGTACTGGAGAGAAACAAGGTTTAAAGATCTAAATTTTGGGAGTCCTCACTGTATAGTGAGAGTTGTAGCTTTGAGATCTTTCAGTAAGCATATATTAAACAGCAAAAGGTCAGTGGTTATATTAATACTTACATGAAAACCAACATCTAAAGGGGGACAAATAGAGCAAGGAAGACAGATATTTAGGATATTTAGAGGAGACCAAGTAGAAGAAGCCAGAGAGGTAGAAAGAACATGAGGGGTGTGTCAGAATCACAGATGGACAATTGGAGTGTGACCTTCCAAGAGTTCAGATAAAACAAGACAGTGACATGTTTTTGGCTTTAGTAACAAGGTTATTAGTGACCTATTGACTGGTTTCAGTGGGGTGATGGTGGCAATGAGTGAGGAATCGTTATAGGTGAGGTGAGGTTGTTTAGACAGTGAGTGTAAATACACCTTTCAAAGAGTTAGGCTTTGAAGGAGTGGAGAGAGGACAGGGGCATTTAGGGAGTTAGGGGTTGAAGGAGTTTTATTTTTCTTTAATACACAACTACATGGGGGTTGAGAGAGGCCTGTAGAAGAGGATGCACTATACAGTACTGGTACATAATTAAATGGTAAACATTTAATGGTAATTATTTATTTAAATATTATGTACCTATTTTCTTTGTTTCTGTTTGATTTTTATAGGATGAAGTTGTGATATGTCCATACGATTCCAATCATCACATGCCTAAATCATCTTTGGCAAAGCACATGGCATCTTGTAGATTGAGGAAAATGGGCTATACCAAAGAAGAAGAGGTACCATATATTTACTATATTATATATACATATATGTCATGCATTTTACACATTAATTCACAATTTTTGGAAGTTACAATGTGAGGTTCACTGACAAAATAATAGCCCTTACTTGAAGGGTTGGTTGGTACTTGCCTAATTGCACAAATTATTGTGAGAAATAATTAAGTGATACTAATCTATTGTTTAGGTCAAGTCTTAAAATAGTCAATTATCTGATACTTAAGAACAGTAAGATTCTTTTTTTTCAGGATGAAATGTATAATCCTGAGTTTTTCTATGAAAATGTGAAGATACCTTCGATTACTTTGAGTAAGTATTAAGTTATTATAATTTAAAAATATCTTAGTGTAGATATTGATTTTTCATTTTTGCATTATGAAAAGAATGGATTGTATAAGCATGCTTATGACAAGGACATTTAGTACCTTAAGAGAATGTAGAATTAATTAATGTACAAGGCAACTAATTCACATAATCTGAAGTTTAGAGACCAGGCTTGTATTAATAGGCAGTGAAAACCTTACAAAGCTTTGTATAGTAGAGCAGACACCTTCTTTCTCAGTTACAACAAAAATTTGAGCATGTGACACAGATTGAAGGATGAGACTGAAGATGGACATGTGTTCCAGGGATTGACAGCATATATAGAGGTTAAAGTCTTGGGCTCTGGAAAAAGAATGTCCTGATTCAACTCCTGTTTTTATCATGAAAGATGTGACTTTCAGCGAGGTAATTAACCTGTTTGTTGCCTAAATTTCTTTATAAAATGGAGATGGTTATAATAGCACTTTGCGAAGATTAAGTGATATATATATATAATATTCTTAGAATAGTGTCAGGCACTTAGCTGGAGTCAGCTAGAGGGTCACAGAGTTGTGACCATTACAGCACAGGCTTCAAGAATGTTAGCTATTATTGGTCAGTAAAATTTGTCGCTGCTACTGCTGCGTGCCTAATTATAGGCATGAACTGCTTGAAGTCTGATTACTTACTGGGCTGTAGATAAATCTGAAAGGATTCTGTGTTCAGATTTCATAGACAGGGATGTGGATGTTTCTTAAGATTCTGGAAGGTTTGTCCACGTGCCCAAAGGGCTTGGATCAGAAACCAGTTAATAATTTAATTGTGGTCACTGATGATTCATATTGTATTTATGGATTTTTTTTTTTTTGACAGATAAGGACTCACAATTCCAGATAATTAAACAAGCTAGAACTGCAGTTGGGAAAGACAGTGATTGTTATAATCAAAGTAAGTGGCATTACAGTTTAAGTGAATTAAAGAATGAAATTATTATTTTTCTCATAAGCATGTTACTAATTTTCTTCAAGAAAAACCTGTGAAAACTGTTACATGGGAAAGGTAAAGTTTTACATTTAACATTGGGCTAATTTGCTTCGTTTCAACTTCATTTGTTAGATATTTCCTGTTGAGATACACCAGAGTCTCACTAAGACACTATCTTAGCTAGGGGTTCATCCTTTGGAATTACCTGGCGATTTATAGGTGAGATTGTCTTGTGGCTAATTAAAAAAATTATTATTTAGTAAATACAGATGGTCCCAACTTAATGATGATTTAATTTAGGATTTTTTCAATTTTATGGTGTTGTGAAAACAATACACAATCACAAGGTTTTAGACTTTAAGTACTAGTGATTCTTTTATCAGACGCTGGGCTGCATTTTCAACTTAACGGTATTTTCAGTTTATGATGGGTTTATCGGGATGTAACCCCATGTAAGTCAAGGAACATCTATAAATGCCACTGAGTGAGGCTCTTTTACTCTTGAGATTTCCTCTCTTTAGAGTGTTGAAATGCAGTGTAAAGAAAAGGCTTAGGCTAAAAGAGATTAGTCTCCACAGCTACCCTCAGATTGCTTGCTACCCAGTAAGTGAGTTGGTTTGAGGTGATGAATGCTTGGGATCCCCTTCTCAGAAAAAAAGTACAAACACAAAAGTTTTACATATAATTTCAGAGGATTCATATTAATAGATCCTTTCATGCCCAGCTTTAGAGCTGGGTTAAAGAGTTTCTCCCTGGGAACCTCAGCAGAGAGTAGGTTAGAAGTTTTAAGCATAAGCTTTTAGGAAATTGAAAGAAAACTTCATCCATCAAAAACATAGACATAGGCCAGACACGGTGGCTCATGCCTGTCATCCCAGCACTTTGGGAGGCCGAGGCAGGTGGATCATCTGAGGTCAGAAGTTCAAGACCACCCTGGCCAACATGGCGAAACCCTGTCTTTACTAAAAAATGCAAAAATTAGCCGGGCATGGTGGCAAGCACCTGTAATCCCAGCTACTCAGGAGACCGAGGCAGGAAGAATTGCTTGAACCCAGGAGGCGGAGGTTTCATTGAGCCAAGATTGCACCATTGCACTCCAGCCTGGGCAACAGAGCGAGACTCCATCTCAAAAAAAAAAACACACATAGACAAACGAGTTAATAAAAGTTTAAATTTCTAATGAATGTAGATATGACATCTAGCCAAAACCTGAACAGCTTCTCTTGTAAGGATTTCTGCATTGTCTTCTTTGAACCTTCTGTAGGTAGCTTTCTCTGGACAACTTACCTTTTTTTCCTCATTCTTTTTTCTAGCTGAATTATATTTACCAGGCTGTAGTCATGGTTGGTTTTCTCCCTCATTGAAATTGAGGATCTTTACCAAATACTGTTCTAAGCCAGTATCTGGACTTGATTTCTCAGAGTTGCTCTATGGCTTCAGAAGAAAGACCATCTTATCCTTAGTTGTCTATATTACATGGGTTCTCTACAACAGCCAGAAGCACATTTCTTGTATTTTTTGTTTTGAGGTTCCCACTTTTGTCCCTGTCAGGGAAATTCCAGGTTTTTTTCTTTGAGGGAGACAGTTGACTCTCATTTTATTTATTCGGAGAGATTACTGAGCTATGACTAGTCAAGCCTTTTTTGGCCTCTGCTATTGGTTCTGCTCATATCCCCTGGTAGTGTACCCATAAAAAAGTTGAGGTTTTTGGTTTTTGAAAGGGTTAATAATACTTAAAGGACTTTATTTGAGTCTTAAGTGGTTAGATTTACTGAATTTTAGAGTTGAAAGAGAACTTGGAGATCATCTAATCCAGTGTCTGCATTTTACAGATAAGAAAAACCCTGTCTGATAGAGACATGATAAAGTTCTAGTGTGTTTGTTCTAAAGGTTCTCCGTATTTTTATTTTTTAAAAGGTTATTTTTTTAAAGCTCTTTTATGAATTACATTTCTCTTTCACAACAAACTTGTGATAAGTTGAACGATATTTTCCCCTCCATAATAGGTGAAGAAACAGGCACACAAAAGTGAAGTAACTCACCTCTGCTAGATAATATCAAAGTGGATCCAGAACTAAGTTCTGAATTTTGACACAAACTCTGAACTGAGTTGTTTGATTTTCTGTTAGAAACCCTACATTTAGTAAAATTTGTGGACCAGGATTCTAGATATTGCTCAAATTTATTTATGATGTCTTTCATGATTAAGTGGAAGAATATCACAAACTTCATATCTCTGCATACTAATCGTGACTATCAGTGCTGTTCATTGTTTATTCTGCTTTGTGTAAACCTGTTTTAAAGAAATAAAAGTAGCTGCTTGGCCATATATTAATGATGATAACTGAGTTTTTGTTTCCTTATCTGTAATACAAAACTCTCATAGAGTTGTTGAGAGGAACAGAGATAATGGATGCTAAACAAGCCTTAGCTCCAAAAATTGGTAGCTTCTATGGTCTAAGTGAAAATTAATATACAGAAAGTAATATTAAGATAATGAAATGGATGAGTTTTATATATATGAGTAATTTAGAAAATGTTCTGCTTTTTAATTTTTATAATAGTAATAAGGGAGATTTGGACATTGAGCTTAGTTCTTTTCAAAAGCAAAGAATTACTTTGAATGAATAGTTAAGAGGAACTATTATATTATTTTGATAGTTAAGAGGAACTTTAATTTTGAATTCTTACACTATCTTAAATTAAGATTTAATTGTTAACCGTAACCTTTTTTTTTTTTTTTTTTGAGGCGGAATCTTGCTCTCTCGCCCAGGCTGGAGTTTAGTGGCACAATCTCTACTCACTGCAAGCTCTGCCACCTGGGTTCACGCCATTCTTCTGCCTCAGGTCCCGAGTAGCTGGGACTACAGGCACCTGCCACCACGCCTGGCTAATTTTCTTGTATTTTTTTAGTAGAGACGGGGTTTCACTGTGTTAGCCACGATGGTCTCGATCTCCTGACCTTGTGATCTGCCCACCTTGGCCTCCCAAAGTGCTGGGATTACAGGCGGGAGCCACCGCGCCTGGCCAACGGTAACTTTATATGATCTTCAACCTTCTTTAAAAATTTTTTTTGGCCACGTGTGGTGGCTCCCACTTGTAATCCCAGCACTTTGGGAGGCCCAGGTGGGCAGATCACCTGAGGCCAGGAGTTCAAGACCAGCCTGGCCAACATGGTGAAACCCTGTCTCTACTAAAAATACAAAAATTAGCCAGGCGCTATGGTGCGTGCCTGTAATCCCAGCTACTCAGGAGGCTGAGGCAGGAGAATCACTTGAACCTGGGAGATGGAGGTTGCAGTGAGCCAAGATGGCGCCACTGCACTCCAGTCTGGACGACAGGGTGAGACTCTGTCTCAAAAAAAGAAAAAAAAATTTTTTTTTATATCCTCTGTAGAGTTATGCAATTTCTCAACAGATTATTTTTGTGGCTCACTTATGTCTTAGACATTTTAAGATCTTTTCCCTCAGGACAGGACTTTCTTTAAATATCTTATTGATGTATTTACTTTTAAGGGAGAATGACTAACATGAAAAATTTTACATTTCTCCATCTAATTCGTATTTTGTTTGTTACACACTACAATGTAAGTTTTTTGACAAGGTTTTATATGTATGTTTTCATTTCATCTGTCATGTCAGGCCTAAACTCAGTGTACAGAATTCTCAATCTTAAACTTTATGAAAGCTCATACAGCTATTCAATCTATATACTTATTTTCAGATATAGTTACTTCGGTTAATTTTTTAACCAAGATATTTCAATCATAAACAATCATTTTATGTTTAGTGGTTTATCTTTTTCTTTCAATATTAAATATTCAGGTTGTATACTTCAGTATTGTGAAGTGTGTTTGAGTCATGGCCATGATATGAAGATCAGTGTACTATCAAAGAAACTTAAAAAGACAGCATAGGATGGGCTTTAGATCCAGTCTGTTCCTATCACTTGTGAGACTTTGGGCAAGTCATGTTACTTCTATGACACTTAATTTCTTTATCTGTAACGTTAAGGAATTGACTCTGAATGAATTCTCCCTAAAATTCTGAATTTGTATCTTTGTGACAACACCTACTAGTACTATTTAATGTTGAATGTTATATGTTTAAGATCCCCTTTGATGACAAAAGTAACAAGAATGAGAATTGGCATTATTAAAACAATAGATTAGAGTTTCAATTTGGGGTGACGAAAAAGTTCTAGAGATGGATAGAGGTTGCACAACGTGAATGCACTTCATGTCTCTGAACAGTACACTGAAAAAATGGTTAGAATGTTAAATTTTATGTTATATATATTTTGCCACAAAAAACCTGCAAAAACAGGCAGCCAAAGGGTCTTAGAGTTATTATAATTACAGCACATTCATATGTACCTTTAAATCATTTAAAAACATGCATTTTGAAAATTTACATTTTATGTAAATGTAAGTTTATTTAAGTATGTTTATCCTTTTTGTTGTCAGAAATATCTATGTTCCGAATGAATTGAATGCAGTTTGTTGCTTAACCTTTCCTGTACTTTTTCTTTTTCAGTAATTGGGGTGAGTATAAAGAGGAATTAGGAACCTGAATGTACTCCTTATTTAAAGATATGCAGTATCCTTTTTGCAAATGATATCCTTTTAAAAGTAAAATTTCTAAACTTTATCTTAATACCTGTCACATATTATAGTCTTGAATTGGAATTTTGGTTGAATTACAAGGAATTTAAGTATCAGTCTTCATCATAAAGAAATTTAAGATGAATAAATTGAAGAAAAGGCTAAAATAATTTAAGAAGGAAATTATATTTCTTTGTTTAAAAATAACAGGCAAAGGTTTATATGAAGCTTGTTTGTAATACATCATTATTTTCTAATCTGTGTTTTCCTCCCAAATTTTTATAGCCTAATTCAAAGGAATTAGGCTTATCAAAGCTGTTTTTATAATTTTGTATTATGAAATGCCTACTATAATTAGAATAAAATTGATTGACTTGAAAGGGAACCCTTTTTTCCCCATTAATTCAAAACCCTTTGACGAGTAAAAATGGCCATATATTGTTATGTATAGCCGTGTTAAACCATGGCCTCAGATTCACTGCAGCTCTCCTCTTAATATGTAGACAAGTAGTACCTCTTTTTTGTTGTAATGCTTAGTTCATAGTATGCTCTTATTTGAATTCTTTTTGCCTCTACCTAGGAACTTAATGAGGTTAGACTTTATCAAATATAAGTATCTGGAAAGAGCTACTGATTTTATGTTGTTCTATGAACCAGTTACTACTTTAGAATAAGTTAGCAAACAATAAAAGGATTCCTTTAGTAGCTCATGTTCTTTGTTTGCATTAGTGAGTAATGAAGTCTAGAAAGAATTGTTTTAAATTGCTTTTTTTACAGTTCCAATCATTTTTTTATTTGAGAAAATTTGAATCTCAAAACAAAAATTTTCTTCAATGTTTAATACATCATATCAAGGTATTGTATTTACTTTTTTTCACTAATGAGCAGATTTTAGAAAATTCTGTAACTACCGGGGGGCACTGCTATTAACTTTTTTCAATTAATTTGGTTAAGCCACTATGCTTCCTCCTCAGGAAATTAAAATGAGTTTAATTTAATCTGTGCTTTCCTGGCGTGAGGAGGTGTGGGATTTCTGCTACTTAATTATTTTGTGGCCCCTAGCTCTAAGTCCTTGCACAAGTGGGATATATTTTGAATATTGACCATCTAGCTTGATGTCTCATACAAAAAGATATTTTTTACACAGTTTTTAATATTTCCATAGTTTATTTTCAAAGGGACTGTAATGCATATTACTTATTAAAAGCATTTTTTCCCCCAACTTTGATGGGGAAAAGCATATCAACAGATACCTACTTTTGTAGATGGCTATAAAAATTGTTACCCAAAAGGCTTTCTTAGAGCAAATTGTCTCTTATGATTATTCCTGCCTGCCTCCATGGGATCTGTCTTTATATTGTTGGAGAGAATAGCAAACATCCATAATACATTTTTTTTTTTTTTGTGGATATAACATTCAGGATAGAATTGTTTGTCATTTATTGCTTAGATTGATATTTTGTATACTTAGGGATTATGAAAAAAGTTTGTGTTAATATTGCATTATTAAAGCACATGTTTAAAGATAATTATTAGATTTTAAGTTCACAATGCTTCATGTATTGTTTATTCTTGTGATTTTATTTTTACTTTAGGAATTTATTCTTCATTGCCTGTTGAAGTTCCTTTGAATCACAAACGGTTTGTTTGTGATCTAACTCAAGCTGATCGTCTTGCCCTCTATGATTTCGTAGTTGAGGAGACAAAGAAAAAGCGCTCTGATTCTCAAATTATTGAAAATGACAGCGATCTCTTTGTAGACTTGGCTGCCAAAATCAATCAAGGTTTGAGATGCACATCATGGCTTTACATTTCTTCATTATCATTTTATTCTATGAGTGTTATTAAGATGATTTAATTCTTGGGCCACTTTGAGTTAGAGTAAAATGGTTTTGTATCATTTAATATTGACATGAAGTTGGCCCTCTGTGTCTGTGGGTTCCATATCCATCAATTTGACCAACGGTGGATTGAAAATATTTGGAAAAAATAAAAGTGTGTGGTTGCCTCTGTACTATACATGTAGAGACTTTTTATTCTTGTCATAATTCCATAAACAATATATTAACAACTATTCATGCAGCATTTACATCGTATCAGGTTTTTGGTGTTTTTTTTGTTTTGTTTTTTTGAGACTGAGTCTTACTCTGTCACCCGGGCTGGAATGCAGTAGCGCGATCTCAGTTCGTTGCAATCTCTGCCTCCCAAGCTGAAGCAATTCTCGTGCCTCAGCCTCCTGAGTAGCTGGGATTACAGACATGTGCCACCACACCTGGCTACTTTTTGTATTTTTAGTAGAGATGGGGTTTTGCTACGCTGGCCAGGCTGGTCCCAAACTCCTGGCCTCAAGTGATCCTCCTGTCTTGGCCTCCCAAAGTGCTGGGATTACAACGTGAGCCACTGTACCCGGCCTGTATTAGGTATTGAAAGTAATTTAGAGATGACTTCAAGTGTACTGGAGGGTGTGTGTAGGTTATATACAAATACTACACCATTTTATATCAGAGACTTGAGCATCCATGGATTTTGATATCCTTGGGGGTTCCTGAACAAATTCTGCATGGATACTGAGGGATATTTACTCAGTACCTGAGGTTTTACTCTGACTTTTACATTAAATGTACCTTCTTTCTGTGAAAATATTACAACTGTGCTGTTACTTTAATCTATGTACCTAAGCACTCTTATGTTCAACTAATGGCTGGAGAGAAGAAATGATATAAAACTTAGCCCGTGTATATAAATAATATACAATTTTTAGAATGTTTTTATGTGCTACTTTGAAACAAGTTAAAATATAGGATTGTGATGTATTTATTTGATAATTCATAGAATTTAAAAGCTTTGAAGGATATAATACTTTTATTTTATTCTTTCATTAGACAATAGTCGAAAAAGTCCAAAATCCTACCTTGAAATCCTGGCAGAAGTACGAGATTATAAAAGAAGACGCCAGTCCTATAGAGCCAAGAATGTTCACATAACCAAGAAATCATATACTGAGGTAAGTTTTACATAATCTTTGTTGATAAGAATTTCCCTTAGGTAATTTTCTAAATCTGTTCTATGAATTTCCACAATTCTTTGGAAATTTTCTGAAAGTGTCTTCAGGGTGGCCACACCTGATTTGTATCTGTTCCATCACTTCTAGATCCACCCTTTAGCAAGCAAAGGCTTTCATAGTATAAGAACCTTATATAAAACAATTGTACAATCTTAAAAGATATCTCCTTGTGAGAAAGTAGTAGTGTATCATGGTAAGAGCATGAGTTTGGGTTTAGGTAGACCATACCTTGACTTTTGATTCTGCTGTTTCTCATTGGCTCTTTGACTTAAGCAAGTTATTTGAGCTTTTTAGATTGAATGTTTTCTTTTCATAATAATAATAATATAATCTTTGCAGGGTTGTTATGAGAATTGACTGACAGAATGTATGCAAACACAAATTTCTTCATGAATATTAGCTATTATCTTTTTTGGCAGAAAGCATGTTTTTATGTACTCTAGTAAATATTTGGACTTAAGAAATGTCTTGATATACATTATTTATGTATTAGTCTCTTGGTGTATGTCTAGACTTATTTTCAGATGCCATTTAATGGCTCGTTAGAGTTGATGAATTTTTTTGGTATGTGAATTACCTTGCCCAGACTCTACAAATAATTGCCTCATTGATTCCCTAATTGTTCCCGTATTATTTCTTACTTCTCTCTGATTTAAAAGACCTTCCATAATCTGGCCTCCTTTTCCCAAGCATTTCTTTTGCTTTAGTCAAGCATGTCTCTTAAACTATATCTGATTGCATATAATTATTCTTACCTCCATGCCCTATTACCTGTTACTTTCTTACCTGAAATGCTCTGTTTTTGCCATTTTAAATCTTGTTGAGTTTAAGGGCCACCATTTCCATGAGGTGCTAGTTGACTAATCTATCACTAGTTTATTGTACTAATACTCTGTACCACACAGCTTAGCTCTAAATTTTATGCTGTTCTTTTTACAGTTAAAATCTGTGTTTTAGACTTAACTTAGCAAGTAGAGACCTGGGTCCCTGTCATACTACCTTGGTGATTCTCATAGTCCCTAAGATACTTGGCTCATCAGTTATTTCTTCTCTCGTCTCATAACCCTTGTAATCAAGCTTAAATGTTGCTGCTAGCATTCTTTACGGTTTTATAGTTGATATTTTATTGTGGAAATATTCAAACATATACTAAAGTGGATAGCATCGTCTAAGGAATGTACCCATCACCCAGCTTCAAAAATTGAAATAAAAGATTGGCAAGGGCTTCATAGAGAAAAGCATTTGAGGGAAAGGGAGAAGCAAGGAGGAATAAAGGAATGTCTGCTATTGACTCTTGCCTATGTGGTGGAGCCTGAGCTAGGTGGATTCTGTGCAAATAGCAGGCTTCAAGGCGCTTACATAGAGCTGCTGACAGGGAGGCTTGTAGGCCTGCCAGGGAAGTGCGAGAGCTGGAACTTGAGATAGGTGTGTGTGACTCATGTCACTCCGCTAGGTTGGACCTTGGCATATCTTAGGTTTTCCATGGGAGAATATAGTGGAGGAGGAGAAGTGGTGGATAAGGATTTTCCGGGTGGAAGAACTAGCATTCTGAAAAGCAGATAGAAGTATAGGAGTTTTTCAGAGACTCATTAGTAACCCAGGGTGGCTAGAGCTTAGGGCTTCTCTGTTGAGAGATGAGGCTAAGTTCTATCTTATGTAGGAAAATCCTGGAGGGCTCTGAAGGCTTCATTAAGGAGTTTGGATATTGTTCGATTTTACTTTGAGAGCCATTGAAAGTTTCTTTAAGGTGGGGAGAAATGCAGTCAGGCCTGAATGAATAGTGTTTCTGAGATTGCCCCGTGTCCCCTATACCTTTTTTCTGAAAACATTTTCTATTTAATCATGAGGGAAGTGTAAACTCCTATTTTAGTTTTGTCTTTGCCTCTGCAGTGACTAACCCTGTGCTTGGTGGCATGGGTAAATAGGAAAGGAAAAACTTTCAAGTGGTTTTTACCTATTTGAAAGTTTCTTTATAGAGTCATTCAGAAAGTATCTGTGAAGTGACTGTATGTTTCATATTTTGTCTTATTAAGTCATATGATTAAGTCAAGATGACTTAATTATAAGGTTTTAAAAAAATCATTTGTAAATAAGCTCTAATAGAGAGATAAATTGCAAAACTAAAAATAGTACCAAGAACTCCCATATTGTCTTTACCCAGATCACCCATTGTTAGCATTTTGCCACATAGCTTCTCATTGGCACTCTCTCTCTCTCTCTCTGCACATTTTTCACTCTCTCGATCTCGATCTGTACATATTTTTTTCCCCTGAATTCTTTAAGGGTTAAATTACATACCTCATAACCCTTTATCCCCAGTATGTATTTCCTAAGAACAGAGATATTTTCTCACATAAAGGTAGTACAGTTATAGCAACTTCAAATTTAATATTGCTGTAAAACTTTTATCTACTATTCATATTCCAGTTTGACCATTGCCTTTTCTGTGTTCTCTAAACTGCACAAGTCCCACAGTCAATTATGTCATAGCACTTAGTAAATATTTGATTGTTAGCACTGATTTTTCTAGCGTTACAGTCTTAATTTTTTGAGCAGTTTTCTTACCTGAAGTTCGGTGCTTACCTCTCCCAAGGTGATTCGAGATGTGATAAATGTGCACATGGAAGAACTCAGCAATCATTGGCAAGAAGAGCAAGAGAAGGCAGAGGATGATGCCGAAAAGTACGTCATTATCTTTATTGGTGAAAATACTCTCTCTTTGATAACAGATAACAATTAACTTATAATTGTTAAATTTTAGCATTTCCAAAACCCTTGATAGCACACAGTAAACTCGTGAAAATGCTTTTTGTTTTTCGTTGTCAGTGCCCAGGGTTATTGTACCAGAGTTGTTCTGACATTACCCTTTGACAGTTTTCAGGGGATAGCCATATTAGTGAAATATTCAAATAGCAAAACATACTAACATTTATGCCTAGTATTCCATTATGGGAACACCAAGCATGTGGGAGTTATTTATGTCCTACTGCTCAAGGTCATCGCCAAGGTCTCATTGCAAAAATTAAAAAAATTGCAACCTCAGGCATAAATGGGTTAAGAGCTGTGTTTATTTGTCCTTTTATATGGGTTATAAGATTGTGCATATTTAGACCATATCTACCATTGGTTTGATATAGAATATTACACTTTAGACTGGTGTGTCTGTGTACGTATACTGGAGACCAGTGGTAACACAAACTGATTAACATTCTTTTCTGTGTTTTAGGAATGAAGAAAGGCGATCAGCTTCAGTAGATTCACGGCAGTCTGGTGGAAGCTATTTGGATGCTGAGTGTTCACGACATAGAAGGGATAGGAGTAGAAGCCCACATAAAAGAAAAAGAAACAAAGATAAGGATAAAAACTGTGAGTCGAGAAGAAGGAAAGAGAGGTGGGTCTAACCCTGCATCATCCAACGTTGAATTCTGTACTTTTTAAAAATAGAACAGGTTCTTCTGTTGTAGACCATGCTGAGAAAATAGATTTTAAGAATAAGCTAAAGTAAGGAGAGTAAACAATTGACGATGATTCTTAACATTCATTATAGTTCAGTTCAAATAACCACCACTCTAGTGACATAGATCTCTACATGCGTGATTGGATGTTTTTTTCCCTTTTTTATCTCTTACTTGCTTGCTTCCTAAACAGGACATATGAAAGTATTGTCTAGGCAGGACATTAACTGTTAAACACGGTTTTCCCAGATCCCTTTCTTCTGCTCATTCCTTCCTTCCTCTTTCTCTTATTCTTTCTTTCTTTTTCCTGCTAATTCCTCAAATAAGGGTATGTAGGGTCAGAGAGAACATCTAAATTTTGACAGTCAATTTTGCCTTTGTTAGTAAAATTTTGATAGCTTGAGAGATGTGAATTAATACCGAATTAGTAAATGTAAATCATTTGAGGTCTATTTCTGTAGTCCAGCTGCTTACAAGGCATGTACCTGGATCTCAAGTTCATCAGGTCTAGAACTAAACTTACCTTTTTCTCAATCTGCTCCTCTTTCCCCAGCATTACTGTCCTGGTTAAAGAGATGACTCTCATCTATTAACCTAAGCCAGAAATCAAGGAGTCATTTTAGATACTTCCTTCCACTCCTTATCATCTGGTCAGTTCCTAATGAAATGATGGTCATTTTCCTAATTTTTCTACTTGTCTCTAAATTTACTGCATATGATTCCATTCCCTTGTATACTGCTAGAGTGAATAGTCACCTCATAGAACTCTTCCGTGGCGGTCTGGCATGGTGGCTCATGCCTATAATCCCTACACTGTGGGAGGCTGAGGCAGGTGATCACTTGAGCTCAGGAGCTCAAGGCCAGCCCGGGCAACCTGGCAAAACCTCGTCTCTACAAAGAATACAAAGATTAGCCGGGTGTGGTGGTGCATACCTGTGGTCCTAGCCACTTGTGGGGCTGAAGCAGGAAGATTGCTTGAGCCTGAGAGGTTGAGGCTGCAGTGAGCCGTGTTCTCACCCCTGCACTCCAGCCTGGGCAACAAAGTGAGACCCTGTCTCAAAAAAAGTGAGAACTCTTCAGTGGCAAAATTCACATTCTTTGAATGGCTCTCAAGACTTCTGGGATCCTGGCTCCTACCTACTTCTTGTATTTTGCTACTACGCCATGAAATGCATAACTTGTCCTCTAGCCAGCCTGAGTTACTTAGAGTTCCTCATCCACACTGTGCCACATCTATGCCTTTCCACTTTTGTGTTCTGCTGCCTACCTCTTTTTAAAAGCCTACTTGGTAAACTCCTCCTCATCCTTTAAGACCCATCTCAGCCATTTCCTGAAGCCTTTTTCTCACTTGTTCAAGCAGAGCTGATCATCTTTTCCATTTTGTTGCCACCCTACCTAGCTTATAGTTGTTCTTGAGCTTAATAGTTATTATTATCGCTGCTAGACTGTGAGCTCCATGAAGGCAAGGTCTGTATCTTACTTAGTTTTATACACAAAGTACTTTCAAATATTAGGCTCTCAAATAATATCCTGTCTCTCCAGGGCCACTGGTAATCAGGAATTAAAGCTTATTGTATTGGTTTGGTAATTTTGTTCATCTTACTATCATTCAGTTAATTAGGTTTAAAGCTACCTATGACTTAGTCCTTTTCTTATACAAATGAAATATTTGCTTAGTAATCCTTTTTGATTCATATGCTGTTTTATAATAACTATAGTGCTTCTTCTACTTAAGTAATTTTTGACATCTCTAATCAATCCCTGTTGACTTAAATACATTAGAAGTCCTCAAAATCTAAACATTAAATAGTTTTTATTTAAAGAAGATAAACTGGATATAAGTAAGAAATACTTCTCAACAGGCTAATCTTTGATATCCAACCCTGGGGTGGACTGAATTATAGGGACTTTGTTTATCTGACGTAAACCAGAACAAGTAAAACATTCATTTCGAATTAAAGTGTTTTTTTTTTTAAGAGTATGTATGAAAAATGCATTATTAAAACTAAGAGACAGGCCGGGCGTGGTGGCTCATGCCTGTAATCCCAGCACTTTGGGAGGCCAAGGCGGGTGGATCACCTGAGGTCAGGAGTTCGAGACCAGCCTGGTCAACATGGTGAAACCCTGACTCTACTAAAAATACAAAAAATAGCCAGGTGTGGTGGTTCGCGCCTGAAATCCAGCTGCTTGGGAGGCTGAGGCAGGAATCGCTTGAATCCGGGAGGCGAAGGTTGCAGTGAGCCAAGATCGTGCCATTTGCGCTCCAGCCTGGGCAACAAGAGTGAAACTCCATCTCAAAAAAACAGAAACAAACAAATAAAAAAACTAAGAGACGAAACTGAAATAGGAATAATCAAAGTGATTTTTTTTTAATTACGCTTTGAAATTCTGCTTTAAAATTAACTTTGAGTATATGTAAATGATAACCAGAAAATTCTTTTCAAATAGAATGTTAAAGTAGCATATTACTGTTGAAAGTGGTGTATTACTGTTGAATTATTTTAAAGCTCTGATATTAAAATGTCCATCATTTATAACCATTTTTTTATACCTCTTTTATTTCAGGGATGGGGAAAGACACCATAGTCATAAAAGAAGAAAGCAAAAAATATAAATGAAGTACTTGTACCTATATTAATTATGCTTACGCCATGATAACCAATATACAGATATATTAATTGGAATTCCTTTGCATAGGAGAATGTTTTTATGATCTGTTTAGTGCTTATTATTTTTTTTATGATCTGTTTAGTGCTTATTATTTTCCAGTAAATATGCTTCAAACCATGAGTACACTATTAGGCCCTACAACTTTGTTTTCCTTATATTTTATTAGATGATTTGCTTCCTATAACTGATGTTGTTTTGTTCGTTTTGCTAATATATGTATCTCAAAATTCTTTAAGTCAATATTTATCATATGTAAATTAAACATGAATACATTCTCATCTTATAACTACATCTTATAAATAAGGCTAATAACCCTTAGAACACCACCTGCGGTTCTGTCCTCACCCCAGTGGTGACTACTGTTTACCACTACACTGGTGAATTGTAGTAGGGAAAAACAATCTAAATATTGAAGAGGAATGGCCTAATTAAAATATGATGTAGTCATAGGATAGATTATTGTATTGGAGTTAAAAGAAATAATCTAGATCCATATTAACCTGGATTGGTCTCAAAAACATAATGCTCAGTGAAAATAGCAAGTTGTAGAAAGTTATATACAAATTATATATATGTACAAAACAATACTATGCATTCTCTATGGCTATATAATGTACGTAAATCTATTTTTAAAGGTTCAGAGGAATCCATACCAAAGTTCTAACAGCGAGTAGGAGGTATAGATGAGAGATTAGGGGTGCAAATCAGGATTGGGAGGGTGGTCAGAGGGAACTTTAGCTTTATCCATAACATTAATTTTTTTAAAAAATAAGGTCTTAATGTTTCATTTAATTTAAAATATACTGTCATGTTGTGTTTTGTAAATCAACTGAATTGAGGTACTATTTACTTAGATTTATTGCACCCTTTTTACGTGTGTATTTTATTGGGTTTTGACAGATTCATACCTCTGTGCAGCCACTATCACGATCAAGATACAAATATTTTCATTGCCCCCAAAATTCTCATACCCCCTTTCCCAATCAATTCCTCTACCCCTAGCCCTAGGCAGCCACAGATTTGCTTTTGGTTACCGATTAGATCTATCCATTGTAGAATTCATGTAAATAGAATACTGTAGTATGTACTTTGCCTTCTTCCTCTCTGCAGATTTTTGAGATTGATCCCTGTGTGTCAGTTGTGCATTTTTTTTGTTGCTGAGTAGTATGTTCTATCTTATGTCAGATCATTCACGTGAGACTTTGGCATGAAATGTTAAGCATCCGACATCTAAATAGCAATATTTTGAATACTGGAAACTCAGGTTAAAGATTTTGTTTCCAAGTAGAAATGAAATCTTATTATTTTAATAAGTAGCTGACAGTGACAGAAAGATTGGATTTGGATCAGATTGGCTGTTAGGCTTCAGGTATGGGAAACAGCTCTCAGATTTATAAATTGGAAATCACCAGGTTACTTGCCAATATATAGTCATATTGCTGCCATTGTACTTAATTTCTAAATATATAAAATCCACATTTAAAAATTATAAAAGCAAGGACTTGGGAGTGACTGATGAATCATGAAATTGCTGCTTTTATAGATCAAAACTACTTGAATCATCAGGAATTTCATATTTTTCATATTGTGTGACAACTTATAATTTTGTTTCAAATTGTGATTTCATTGATTTTACTAACTGGAAGGAAGAAGAGTAAAATTGGCATATTTAGGTTTTTTGTAGAAGAAAGATACAAGTGAAAATTAGGAGTGGATTGGAGAAATTGGGGGGAAATAGAAGAGTACGGAGAAAGGAAGAGATTGAAAATGTTACCAGAGTTCTTTAAAGCTCACATTTTATAGTATCACTGCTACAAACTATTTAATGAAATGTGGCATCGGGTGAAAAGAGGCATTTGTTTGATCCTTGAACGAATTAATCTCACGTACTTCCCTGTTTGTGGTTTGAGCCTTTCACTGGATGTGAGCTACTTGAGAGCAGGGTTTATGCCTTCATCAGCGTGACCCCTGTGCCTGCAGCCTCATAGGTGTTAATCTGTAATTTTAAATTTTGACAAAAGCATTTTCACAGCCCTGCCACATAAGATCTAGTTTTTATTTCTAGAGTGCTGCTATGAATAATTACTATAGCTGCTGTCCATCTTGCCCATCCATTAAGGTACCTTCTCACAAACATTTCTAATCTACTGGCTGGAGTGCAGTGGTGCAGTCTGTAGCTCACTGCAGCCTCAAACTCCTAGGCTCAGGCGATCCTCTTGCCCTGGCCTCCCATGTAGCTGCAACTATAGGTGTGTGCCACTACACCTGGCTAATGTTTTTAGTTTTTTAGAGATGGAGTCTTGCTCTGTTGCCTAGGCTGGTCTTGAACTCCTGGGCTCAGATGATCCTCCTGTCCTCAGCCTCCCAAAATGCTGGGAGCCACCAGGCACCAGGTGTGATCTACCACACCTGTCTAAAAAGTATGTATTTTTAAATTTTTTTGTAGAGACAGGATCTCACTATGTTCTCCAGCTGGTCTCAAGCTCCTGGCCTCGGCCTCCTAAAGTGCTGGGATTACAAGTGTGAGCCACTGTGCCTAGTCACTTTAATTGAGATATTGGCAAGTCAACTGCCATGCAGAGCCCAGGGCACTGGTTATATTCAGTAGGAAACTGAACTCAGCACTCAGAATTTTAAATTAAATCAATGATCTTCAAGTATTTGCCACTTTCGAGTACAGCTAATTGGATAATCTCAAACCCTTTAGTGAAAATATCTTAAATGCATTGAGAATATTTTCTAATTACCTGTGTATGCTACAGTACAGACATTAATTCTATAAACATGTTCATAGGTCTTCCCCCTCGCCCCGCCCGTCTTCTAAGGGCATTTTCTGTTTCTTTTTAGTGAGTTCATGAATGTTTAACGGTTCTGGCGCAAAGCTTTCTTGCATTCTGAGCATAAAAATAATAAAACCCACTTATATTTGCTTGAGTGTGTTTACAAGTCAATTTCCTTTTATGTAGCTTGCTTTTTCATTTGCTATAATTGATCCTGCAGGTGTGTGAATTATTAAACTAACGCTCTTTTAAACCACACTTGTTTTATTAGTGATTGTACTTCCTGCTGTGGTCACAGATTTAGGAGTTTTTGGTGTTACAGAAAATGCTCATAGCTTTTGGATATTTGGACTGGGACCAGTAATTTCTAGAGCTCCCTTTCAGGAAAGAAAAAATAAGATTTGCCAGATGTAAGGGGCTCTGAGCTAGATTCATCTTTATTGAATAAGTCAAGTCACTTTCCCATTTTAAAAACAAGTCCACCTAAGAAAAAAGAGGCTGCCTTAAAATAGAATATAAATTCCTAACCTAGCTTTTAGTCCTTTATTTTAGTATTATAAAGCAGGGGTACTTGCTACATACAGCCATGGGGAGAATGGTGAATGAAGAAAGGCTGCAGGCTCCGGGGAGTCCTTCCTTAGGAGTTTCACATCTTGTGTCACCAATTAAGGGATCTGGGTTTGAGTTACTTGAGTACTCTTTATGAGGATAATTTCCCGTAATTGTGGAGCTTTAGTAACCCATGTTCCTCCAGCTGCAAGCCATGACTCCTAGTCTAGAATGAGAAAGGTAATTAAAGGGAGCGTCAGGAATACAGAGATGAAGCAGGAGCCTGGGCTTTATTTGGTAATGCCGACACAATTAAAAAACCAATACTTTAACGTAATAAATTCTTCACATACTGACAGAATAACTGATCAAAGAGGGCAGTAAGATGAGTCAGGTACAATACAGGCTGTGTAACCCTGGGCAGACTCTTAGTCCCTCCATACCTTCTCCATACTGTATGCCCTCAGAAGATTGTCAAGCATAATGTGATTTGGCCCATGCAGTGTCTGACATGTCGCAGGTACTGAATGCCCACTGTTACTGTGATTCATTACAGATGTGAGCTCATCCTTTCTACTCTGGCTCCTGTGACTGGTTTGGATTCTCAGATCGGTGTTCTCTCTCATTCTGCATGCTCTGCCCAGCAGCTGTGACCCACTCTTAGTTTTAACTATGCCGACAACCAATTCCATGACTTCAGCCCAGACCTCTCCTCCAAGCGCCGTGTCTATGCGTAAAATAGCACAGCTTCTCCTAGTGCTGTCCACATACTTCTGACTCCACACTGCAAAACTACAGTTACCACCCTTCCGTCAAACCTCTGCCTCCTCACTCTGTCTTTCTGCATTTGGTTCACGTCACCATCTTCCTTTTCGATCATGCTAAAGACCAGAGAGCTGGCGAGGTGCAGTGGCTCATGGCTGTAATCCCAGCACTTTCAGAGGCCAAGGCTGGAGGATCACTTGAGCCCAGGAGTTCAAGACCAACTTGGGCAACATAGCAAGACACCATCTCTATGAAAAATTAGCCAGGTATGGTGGTACATGCCTGTAGTCCCAGCAGCTGGGGAGGCTGAGGCAGGAGGATCACTTGAGCCCAGAAGGTTGAGGCTGCAGTGAGCTGAGATTGCACCACTGCACTCCAGCCTGGGTGACAGAGTGAGACCCTGTCTCAAAAAAACAAAAAAACAAAAACAAAAACAAAAAGGACCTGAGAGTCATTCTCGATTTCCCCATTTCCATTACCACTGTAGATTACCTCCTAAGTATCTTGTACAGGTTGAGTATCCTTAATTTGAAAATCTGAAATCTGAAATACTCCAAAATCCAAAACTTTTTGAGTGCTGACATGCTCTTGAGCCTAAGAGGAAAATTCCACACCTGACCTCATGTGATAGGTCTCAGTCAAAACTTTGTTTCATGCACAATATTATTTGAAATATTATATGAAATTGCCTTCAGGCTATGCATATACGGTATGTATGAAACATAAGTGAATTTCATGTTAGATTTGGGTCTCATTCCCAAGATATCTCAATCTGCATATGCAGATATCCCCTAATTTGAAAAATATCCAAAATCTGAATTGGTCTCAAGCATTTCGGATACGGGAAACTCAACCTGTACTGAGCCCACCCCGTCTTTCCATACTACTATTTTAGTAAGAAAAAGCCAGCGGACTGTTCTCTCTTACTATACTCTCACCACATAACACTTTCGTGACCAGATGTGCGTGGATTTTCCCCACTCGTCACTTCTCTGGGGGACGCCAGCTGGGCATCCTACAATTTAACTCATTTCTGACATTGTCTACCTGGAGTTATCATCAGATCCCACAAGTTAAGGGCTCAGTCCCACAAGACTAATCCCCACTTCAGATACAGTCAGATGCAAGTCTGGGCCCCTGGTACTTCTGATGAACTGGCTATAAATTGGGGGTTCCCACAATCCCCTTTGCAGTTTGATCATTTGCTAGCTCAGCTCATAGAACTTGGGAGAACAAACACTTTACTTGCTATTGCCGATTTATTACAAAGAATATTTTAAAGGCTACAAATGAACAGCCAGATGAAGAAATACACAAGGCAAGGTTGAGAAGGGTCCCGCTCACAGGACCCTGCGTCCCCATGGAGTTGGAGTGCACCACCCCTTCTGAATGTAGATGTGTTCAGCAACCCAAAAGGAAACTCTGAACCCAGTCTTTTTAAGTTTTTATGGAAGCTTCAATAAGTGAGCATGGGCCAGGTGTGGTGGCTCACGCCTGTAATCCCAGCATTTTGGGAGGCTGAGGCGAGTGGATCATCTGAGGTCAGGAGTTCGAGACCAGCCTGGCCAACATGGTGAAATCCCGTCTCTACTAAAAATACAAAAATTAGTCAGGTGTGGTGGTGGGCGCCGGTAGTCCCAGCTCCTCGGGAGGCTGAAGCACGAGAATTGCTTGAATCCGGGAGGCGGAGGTTTCAGTGAACCAAGATTGCTGCTGCCCTCCAGGCTTGGCAACAGAGAGAGACTCTGTCTCAAAAAAAAAAAAAAGTAAGCATGATCGATGATATCATTGGCCATTGGTGATCAACTCAACCTTCAGCCCCCCTCCCCTCCTCAGAGATGGGGCACAGGGAGGGCTGAAGGTCCTAACCCTGTCATCATGCTGCCAGTTCCCCTGGTAACTAGCCCTCATGCTGAGGCCATCCAGGAGCCCCCAGCCACCCGTCAGTTCATTAGATACAAAAAGACACCTATCACTGGAGATTGCAAGGAGTTTGGGAGCTATGGCTCAGAAAATGGGACAAAGGCCAAATATATGTTTATTATAAATCACAGTGTCTTACTACCCTGCCTAGTTCCAGTGGCAAACATCTCTTGCCTACACTACTACAACCATCTCCTCATTGCTTTTCCTGCCTCTTTTTGCCCTCAGGCCAGCCCCACTTACAGTTGCCTAAGTAATTGTCTGAATTCCTCCCCCGAGCTCTTCCCTCTGTCTCCATTATGGCCACATATGCTTTCGGAGTCTGAACAGTTATCACCTCCTCCAGAAAGCCTTATGGACCTACTTGGAGAGGCTAGACAGGGAAGGACTGACTGAGAAGATGCTATTTAAGACCAGGCCGGGCCTGTAATCACAGCTACTTGGGAGGCTGAGGCAGGAGAATCACTTGAACTAAGGAGGCGGAGGTTGCAGTGAGCCGAGATTGCACCACTGCACTCCAGCCTGGGGAACAGAGCGAGACTCCATCTCAAAAGAAAAAAAAAAAATATGAGGCCGGAAGGATGAGGAGCACATTCTTCAGAATACCTGCCATGCCTTTAAAAACATATACTCAAAATTGACTTTAGCCTTTGCCATTTTCCCAAAGGTGCTCGCTAAGGGTTGTTTGGTTCATACACAGCTGGCTACTGCCACCTTATGGCAAAAAGTTGAACAGAAACTTCCATGCATAAAATTCTGCGAACTTACAAAAGCCTGACAATTTTCCAGTTCATCTCACCTGGTACAATGGATGAATTATTCTGCATTTGATCTAAGATTATCACCTCTTCTTATGTGCTGGAGACCCTCCCCTCTCACCTGCTCAAAGATGTTGTTCATAATATTTCCCTTTATCTTGCATCACCGACCGTCATCTCTCTATTGACTCATTCTCACCAGCACTCAAACCTGCTGATAGAATATCTGAAAACAAAGAAACAACAAAGACCTTCCCTTAGCCCTACCTTTCTCTAGTTACCACCCCACTTTTCTGCTCTCCTTGATGGCAAGCCTCTTCAAAAGAGTTTTCTATACTTGTCATCCTCACTTTCTGTTTTCTTATCTCTTGAGTCTATTCTCAATCAGATTTGCCCCAGCACTCCACTCAAACTCTCAGCTAAGGCCAGAAATGGTTTCCACACTGCCAAATCCAATGGGGGAGTCTCAGTCTTCGCCTTGACCCAACCATAGGTGGCGTTGCTATCTCCCGGTTCTCCCTCCACTTCACAGGCTGTTCCTTCTCACTATCTGTGGCTCATTCCTCCTCTTACCTCTGAGCTTTAAGCATGGTAATGCCCACAGTTCACTCTTTCCACCTCTTCTCTGTCTGCATTCTCTCCCTAAGTCCCCCACCTCCACTTTTTTTTTTTTTTTTTGAGACAGAGTCACTCTGTTGCCCAGGCTGGAGTGCAGTGGCCGATCTCAGCTCACTGCATCCTCTGCCTCCCAGGTTCAAGCGATTCTCCTGCCTCAGCCTCCCAAGTAGCTGGGACTACAGGCGCCCGCCGCCACACCCAGCTAATTTTTGTAATTTTAGTAGAGATGGGGTTTCACCACGTTGGCCAGGCTGGTCTCAAACTCCCGACCTCAGGTGATCCTCCCGCCTTGGCTTCCCAAAATGCTGGGATTACAGGCGTGAGCCACCATGCCCCGCCTAAGCCGTTTTTGTACTGACTAATCCAAACACCACCAGCTTTTCCCCCTGAATTCCAGACTGGACACCACCACTTGGATACCCAATCTGATTGGCATCTGAAAGCAAATACACTTAACAGCAATTTTTTTATTTCTTCTCCACTTCCCATCCTAAACAGCCTTTCTCTGGTTTTTCTCATCTCAGTAAATTGCAATTTTATTCTTCCAGTGGCTCATCTTTCACTCTTTTTCTCATATCCGCCTCTAATCCGTTGGCAAATTCTACTGATTTCAGTGTTTTCCCATTTCTTACTACCACGCTTGCCATCAGCCTAATCAAAGCCAGTATCATCCCAGACAATCAGAAAACTTTCTTCTGGGTCTGTATGCTTCCAGCTTGTCTCCCATCTTGTCTATTTCTCTGTGTAGGAGCCAGGAGCCTGCACGGTCCTATAATAATGAAGGTAAGACCATGTCACTTCTCTGCTCAGAACCCTCCAGCGGGTCCCCATCTCACACAGAGGAAAGTCCAGATTTCTCACCAAGACCTAAAGGCCCGCATGGCCTGTGCCCACCCCTCGCTCTAACCTCACCTCCCACCGTGGCCTCCCTCACCCATCCTGCATCCACTCCTTGCTCCCCAGGTGCATGAGGTTTGGTCCCATCTCATGTTCTCGCTCTTCCTCCTGTTGAAAATCTTGTTCTTCACGTCCTCTGGTTCTCTATTCCAGAGTCATCTTTTCAGAGCCGCCTTTCCAGACCCTCCTATTTAAAATTGTACTTTCTCCACCCTTTCCCCTTCCATTGTTTTCCCCTGTAGCACTTTGTAGCCTAACATAGCTTATGAGATTGTAAGTTTCACAAGCGCAGGGACTTGGTTTCTCTGCTCCCTGCTGGATGCCCAGTGCCTGGCAGATGGTGGACGCGCCACAGCTATTTGTCAGATGAATGAATGAGGACCAGTGTCCAAGGCGATCCAATTTCGAAAAAAAAGGAACATATTCTCTCTAACCTGTATACGTCTGGTTGACTAAAGCAACAGTATTTTAAATCAATTTTTAACTAATTGATGACTTATTTATATGGAGAGGAGCTGCCATTGCTCATTGTTTCTCTGTCGGGACGGAGACAGCAAGGCAGATTTTCTCTGTCCTGGGAAGAATCAGGTGAATACATTTGTTTCTGTGGACGTGCAGCAAGCTTTGTCCTAGAGGGGTGGGCCAGGGCCTCTTTGGAGACTTCAGGAGGCTGTCCCTTTCTTTGGTCCCTCCTTCAAGTGTAGGGAGATAATGAACTTCCTTTGAGGAAAGAAATGAAAACCCCAATCTTCTCCTTTTTGAGGCTGAGCATTATCCAGACTTCTACATTTGGAGATAGTGCCTGCTGAGGCGGGTCTACTGACAGAAGTAAGCTCCAAGGCCTCCCTCAGACAGCTAACCTGGTGACCTGGGTTCCATGGGATGCCCAGATTGTCATGGACATGAAAAAGGCTGTGGGCAGTGCTGGGTGGAGCACCTCTCTGCCTGGGGTACTTGCTTGTGAGTAGGATCCTGGGGATCCAGGCTTATTCTGAGTGTGGGACTTCCTGGGTGGAAATATTCTGGAAAAAGTGGAATTTTGCTGCCTTAAAGAATCACTAAGTCTTGGAACCCGCAGTAGTGCCCATGATCTCTTTGAATTAGACAAGAAGAGTGCTTGATTGTAGCTCTTGCAATCCTCACTGCCTGGCAGGGCAGCTCATTCCGGAGCAGCCTCGTTCTGGGGTAGCTGTGGTTTTCTTCAGCCCCGAGGGCATTTGCTGAGTTTTGCTTTATGTGACTGGATGGGACTGGCCTTGGAGACACTAATAAGCACGTGAGGGTTTTTGGACAATGCGAAGAGTTGGTGCCAAGCCACAAGTGGGAGATGTTGAACTTCCTGCGAATCTGGTGTGTTGTAGCCTGAGTCGGTTTCAATATGAAAAATAAGAGTGACAGTGCCTTCCTTGTATGCTAATCTGGCGAAGTGGCTCATGCTGGCCATGTAACAACCTGGCAGCCTCCTACAGAAGCAAGTGGGGTGTGGCATTCCTGCTGTCTGCATCTTCTGTTTGTCACCTCGCCCACTCTGTGGCCATATCCCTTGTCCTGATGGCTTCCATCACAGCAGCCGGGGGCAACTCAGCCTGGACTCTTCCAAGCCTTTCTCTCTGTTCCTAGCCGTGTGCGGCTAGAGAGCATCACAAGACCCCAACCTGGTGCCACGAAGGGGTAAGGACCCCAGTCACTCCCCTCCACACCTTTAACTCCCCTCTTCCTGTCTTCTTTGCTTTCCTCAAACTGACAGCCTGGCCACTTCCCACTTCACTTAGAAAATAGAAACTGGCAGACACAAACTTCTTTCCCACCCTGCCACAAAGGCTGTTCCTTTCTGGGCATCTGGGATGATGAGAGCTGATGGGTACTGAGTGCCTCCAAGGAGCTAGGGCTGCCCTACAGGCCTCACACGCTAACTCATTTAATTGTTTGTTCTCTCCTACATAAAAACCCCCAACCCCAAACCAACCAACAAAACCCAACGCACAGAGAGATTAAGCAACTTGACTGAGCTCACACAGCACTGGGATGAGACCTCAGGCAGCCTGACTCCAGAGCACCCAGCACCTGCTACGGAGCCTAGAACACAGAAGGCACCCAGGAAAAACGGGTTGAATGATTCCATGCAGGAATCTAGGAGGCTGAACTTCAGCTTTAGAGTAGAATGCCCGTCAGCTCAATATCAAACACAAAGGGAAAATAATGATGATTTTGGGGAGGAAGAAGTGGTGAGACACAGTAAATTTATACTTAAATTTTATTTTCCAATGCAAAAAATATCTTCTAAGTGAAGAACATGTGACAAATTTGCACAACTATAAAGAAGGAAAATAAAGCCACTAGGAAACACAGTACACTTTGTTCCATTTTGAAATCCAAATATCTCTGGGAAAAATACTTCTACAGGCCACTCTCCTTTACATCTTTGTCACAATGAATTTCAGATCCCCACTGACATTACTGTGATAAGTGTTTAAGATTCAGAGGTGCCAAAATGGAGATCAAAGTCCTAATTGTGGCAGGATGCGCGGTGGCTCACACTTGTAATCCCAGCACTTTGGGAGGCTGAGGTGTGTGGATCACTTGAGCCCAGGAGTTCGAGTTCAGCCTGGGAAACATGGCAAAACCTCCTCTCTACAAAAAAACAAACAAACAAGCAAGAAAATAAAAAAAACCAACAAAAACAAAGTCTTGATTGTATTAATGACAGCAAGGCAGGTGCTCACTCAGTCTCAGGTTCTTGTGAGACCAACTTGGAGACTGAATGTGGACTTCTCATGTCCTCTCGCAGTTTGAAACTGTGTGGCTCTGCCCTGGGCTCACTCACTGTATTTGTCAGGGTTTTTCCAGAGAAATAGAGTCAATAGGGCGTGTGGAGAGAGAAAGAGAAAGAGAGAGAGAGAGAGAGAGAGATTTATTTCAAGGGATCAGCTCATGCAATTGTGGAGGCTGACAATTTCGAAGTCCACAGGGTGGACCCGCAGGCTGGAGACCCAGGGAAGAGTTGATGTTACAGGTGAAGTCCAAAGACCGTTTTCTGGCAGAATTCCCTCTTGCTCAGGAGACACGAGTCTTTTTGTTCTGTCCAGGTCTTCCACTGATTGGATGTGGCCCACTCACATCCAGGAAGGAGATCTCCTTTACCTGAAGTCTGCTGATTTAAATGTTCATCTTGGCTTCAGGAACTGTGGGTTATGGTGCAGACATGGGAAAGTTCAAGAACAACACTACAAACAACCAGTCCTGAAAATAGTACAGAAACACATCAAGAAATCCTGATCACAAAGATTGATTTCTTAAAGGGATGGACCCCAAGTTCCCGAAGAACATGCACTTCGCCTAGAAGCACAACGAGAAGGGCCTGGAGAAGATGCAGGACAACAACATGCGAGCTGAGGCTATCAAGGCCCCCCAAAGCCTATGGAAGTCCAGCCCAGGGTTCCAAAGAGCGCCAGCCGCAAGCTCGATTTGCCTACACTGCCCACCCCAAGGCTGGGAAGCATGCTCGGGCCCACATTGCCACGGGTCTCAGGCTCTGCTGGCCAAAGGCCAAGGCCAAGGATCAAACCAAGGCCCAGGCCTCGGCTTCAGCTGCAGCTCCAGCTTCAGTTCTAGCTCCTGCTCAGGCTTCCAAAGGTGCCCAGGCCCCCATGAAGGCTCTGGAGTAGAGAGCTTCATCTGCCAATGTGAGGACAGAAGGACTGGTGTGACCCCCGGGCTGCTGTCTGCATGGGGCTGGTGTCCTCCTGTGCTATTTGTGTGAATAAACCTAAGGCAGGAAAAAAATGCTGATCTCGTCCCCAAACACCCTCACAGAAATATAAAGAATAAGTTTTGACTACACATCTGGGTACTATGGCCTAGCAAAATTGACACATAAAGTTAGCTGTCACACTTAGCTAGCTGCAGGTGTCAGAGCTGGGAAAAGATCCCCTTCCATGATCAGAGGCCCTGGCTGGCAGGGAGGGGGCTACCACATGGAGGCTAGAGGTGGGGAGCTCATTGTCCTTCAATTCGGGTGGTCTAAAGGCAATAGGCTATGCTGGACAAGGGCAGGTCCTACTTGGACATCTTAAATAGAATTGGGGGCAGATTCCATTTTTGGGGGGCCCTCTTTTTAAGAAAATAATACAAAATTAGGGTCTGGGTGCAATGGCTCACACCTGTAATCCCAGCATTTTTGGAGGCTAAGGCGGAAGGATTGCTTGAGGCCAGGAATTCAAGACCAGACTGGGCAACATAGGGAGACCCTGTCTCTACAAAAAAAAAACATTTTTTTTAATTAGCCAGATGTGGTGGTGTGTGCCTGTAATCTCAACTGCTTGGGAGGCTGAAGTGGGAGGATTGCTTGAGCCTGGGAGGTTGAGGCTTAAGTGAACCATTATGGTACCACTGTACTCCAGCCTGGATAACGGAAGCTGGAGTGACAGAAACTAGGTGATAGAGAGTGGGAAAATAATTAGGTATCAGACCTTGAAAGGAACTCCAAGCATAAATTTCATTACCCCATAGTAAATCATCTATGAGAAAGAACGCAGATAGAAAGGAAAGACGAGAGTAGCCTACTTCTCCAGCATTCCTGGAGCAGGTAGAGAATAGGTTATCAATAATTGCATTTGAATAGGTGACTGAGGGAATGAAACTTTAAGGGTGAAAGTTGGGTGAAGTTTTTGGCCATTGGCCTTGCCGTGCTTCTGAACCATGACTCACCACCTCCATGGATGGACCAGTGTTTGAGCTCGTCCAAGTTCATATGTCTTTTCTCTGAATCAGGGGTTGGCAAGCTTTTTCTGTGAAAGATCAAAGGGTAAATATCTTAAGCTTTGTGGGCCATACAGTTTCTGTGGCAATGACTTGACTCCACTTTTGTAGCACAAAGCAGCCAGAGACAGTTGGTAAATGAAGGTGTGCGGCTGGGCACCATGGCATTTCATTTACCGAAAGAGGTGATGAGCAAGATTTGGCCCCCAGGCTGCCATTTGATGAGCTCTGCTCTAGGTCACTGCTTTTCAGTATTTAAAAACAGGATATTTTCTTCAAATCACCTTCAAGAGCATCTAACACATAAGCCTGATGAAAACAGTTGCTGCAGTTTAAGTTTGGGTGGGTGGGGGTCAGCCTAGAGCCTGGTCCTTCTCATGGTGACACCAAAGGAAACTCCATGGAGCTCCCTGGGTTCTGAGGAACCTAGAGTGAAGTCCACTGCCCCACTCCACATGGCCTGTCCCCAATACGCTTCCAAATGATCCTTCCTACATTTGTTGTGATGTTACTTATTATCCCCACAACTAGACAGTAAGACCCTTGAGAGCCTGGGCCAAGGCCTTGCCAGCTTTTTCCCTTCTCTATGGTGCCAAGCATGAGCCGAGACTCAGGCACAGCTGTTTAACGTGGAATAACCTGGGAACTTGGTCTAACCTGAGTTAGTCCCTGACTCAAGGTAATCAGTCGCTGAAGTACAGATGCTAGAGCTGGAAGAAGGCAGGGGTTCACTTTCTTCTCCGTGTGGGCCCCATCCCCCAATTTGTCAAGTGAGAGAATGAAGCCCATTCATTCATAATGTCATTCACATCTAAATTTGTGCTCTGACCAAGATTTTACTTTCTCACAGATATTAAGTTTGGGTTTATCCCCAACTAGGTTTATCCCCAGTGTTTTCGGAAATAAGTTCTCAAGGTTGTTATGGAATTATTAGAAGAAAAACAGTGGGTGGCAGTGGTGGTATGTGTGTGAGTGGGTTGGGGTGGGGTGGGGAAGTCGGTCAATGTGTGCAGTTCCTGCAATAGGAAAAGAAGCATGTGCTTCAGGTGAAGGGAATGCCGCTGACAAGGGTCCTTACTTATGCCTAGAATGATGCTGGGCAGACATCCTCAATATTGGGAGAATTAAATGGAATGGTAGCCTCCAGGAGCCCTCACTATCCTGCTACTCATTTTCTGAGTTCCTGAAGTTATAGAGTTAGTTACACAAAAACAAAAATAGACACATCATGAAAATATTTAATGACCACAAATAAAATCTTCCCCTGCTCGGCCAGGCATGGTGGCTCATGCCTGTAATCCCAACACTTTGGGAGGCAGAGGTGGGTGGATCACTTGAGGCCAGGAGTTCGAGACCAGCCTGGCCAACATGATGAAACCCCATTTCTACTAAAAATACAAAAATTAGCCGGGCATCGTGGCATACGCCTGTAATCCCAGCTACACAGGAGGCAGAGGCAGAGAATCACTTGAACCTGGGAAGTGAAGGCTGCAGTGAGTCGAGATTGTGCCACTGCGCTCCAGCCTGGGAGACAAAATGAGACTCCATCACAAAAAAAAAAAAAAAAAAAAAAATTCTTCCCCTGCTCAAACAACGTGTGTCCCAGATGCCAAATATCTCTGATGACAGTCTGGTGTTGTAAACACTCAATGCCATGATGCCAGAACACAGGGACTGCATAATGACAAGGTCCATCTAGCAAAACAGGTAGGGGTTTTTCATGAAGTTGATGAAAATGATGATGGATCACTGTTCAACCCCCCTGCAAAGCTGTCATGATGCAAATGAGGCTCCGGAAGAGGGAGAGACAAGTTGAGAAATGAAAAAGAGAAAGCTGACCAAAAAATCAGGTTGGATTCTTGAAAAGGGGATGATTTGAACATCAAAAGATGCAGAGAGACCCTCGGGAGAACTCATAAAGCAAATTTTTTTTGTTGCTGTTAAAATGACCGTGCTGTAAAAAGTAAAGGCAATGATCTTACACAATCATAAAATTTTACCAGAAATATTACCTTCTTTTGAAAAAGTCTGATTTACTTCTTGTTCATTTTGAAAATTAGTATATGGTTGAAATTATAACAAAAATTTTGTTAGATATAGGATTAAAACACATTTAATTTCATGTCCCCCATAAAATTTCAACCAAAACTCTTTTTTGATTATTTCAACCCAAAACTCTTTTTAAAAATTATTTGTTATGAAAACATTTTACCCCTTTTAATGGAGCTCACTCTAAGCCATCTTTCCTTGGTACCGAGTATACTTGGATAATGAGGACTGTTTTCCATAATGTTGGTGTAGAAAAAAACCTTCTTATAAGCAAGACACAAAATGCCAGAGGAAAAGACTGTGAGAATTGATTAGTAAAATGTTAATACTTTTGCATGATGAACTAATAGGCTACAACACCCTGGGTGAAAATATGTATAACAGATATAATCACAGAGCGGTTAATAGCCGTGATACAGAGAAAGCGATACGAGTCAAGAAAAAGAAAAGTAACCTGGAGGCAAAATGGGCCACAACCATAGTTGGTGGATTCACAGAAGAGGAAAAAGGGAGAAGGACTGGAGCGCGGTTAACAAACATGTGAAAAGATACCCACTCCTACCGGTAATCAGGTAAGGGCAAAATAAAGTATCAAACACCACTTCACCCATATGTGTGTGTCCTTTGACTTCACTACTAGAATTAGGAATGTATCCCCTAGAAATACTCACACAGAACTATTTACAAGTTGTTAGCATATTATAATAGCAAAAATAGGAAATATTGTATTACTATTGTGAAAGTTGTCATAATCAAAATGAAGTCACTAATGTTAAGATAACTTCAACAAATAGAGCTGAGGAAGGCCATGAAGAGAGGGTTTTCATGGTTGTATACCTGATCACAATAAAGACGGAAAAAACCACAAAGCTTCTTGGATAAAGTTCTCTTGCACAAAGGCCATCACAACCCTATACAAAAAATACTTCCTCAAGGACATCTGCCCAGCAACTGCCTGTCCAACCACAGACTGGTATCATCCTTGCTGTTGATCTTTGTGGCCAAGGATAATTACTGAAAACAATTATGTAATCTTCCTCATTTTTTCCCTTTAAAAATCTTTGTCTTCCTTTACCTCCCTGAATACACACATGTTTTACTATGGCACACATATTCCTATTGCAGTGCTTTACTCCCAAATAAACATCTTTTCTTTTCAGGAGCTGCTGTTTGTTATTTTGGTTGACACTATTCATAGCTGATACTTGCATAAGGCCTTCTATGGGTGGGCACTTTTCTAAGCACTTTACATAAATGAGCTCAATCCTCCATGACAACCCTGTGAGAAAGTACTTTTATTACCCTTAGTATGCAGACAAAGGACCCAAAGCACAGAACAGAGCGGTTTATTCAGGGTCACTCAAACAGCAGGAGGCAGAATTGTGATGTGCCCCAGGCAGTCTGGCATGCGTCTGTGCTCTATACTTCTTACTATACAACTTACACCCAGGGTAGGATTGGCTAAATAACCCATAGAAAATCCTTACAAGGAACAACAACACATATTGTAAAAGGAAACAAATGGGTGGCAGTGTAATCCTATTTTTGAAATATGCAAACTGTGTATGTGTGGTTTATGGGGGGTGTGTGTGTGGGGGGGGTTGTGTGTGTGTAAATGCATGGACGACAGCAAATGGAATAAAGACACAAACTCAATAGTGGTTGCCTTTGCTAAGGAGCATGTGATGGGGGTAGATGCTGGGGGAGGCGGGGTGCTGGGATAGAAAGACTTCTAATTTCTGCTGCATAAATTTTTGGATTGTTGAATTTTTAGGAGAATGTGTATTACTATAGATAGATTTCTTTTCTCTTCTTTTCTTTTCTTTTCTTTTTTTCCTTCCCTTCCCTTCCCTTCCTTTTCTTCTTTTCTTTTCTTTTGGGATGGTCTCACTCTGCCACGCAGGCTGGAGTACAGTGGCATGATCTTGGCTCACTGCAACCTCCGCTTCCCAGGCTCAAGTGATTATCCCACCTCAGCCTCCCGAGTAGCTGGGACTACAGGCATGTGCCACCACACATGGCTAATTTTTTATATTTTTTAGTGGAGATGGGGTTTTGCCATATTGCCCAGGTGGGTCTTGAACCTGAGCTCAGGTGATCCACCTGCCTTGGCCTTCCGAAGTGTTGGGATTACAGGCATGAACCACTGTGCCCAGCCTGTATTACTACATAATTTTTAAGATGTGCAAATGAAACACGAAGGGGTTATAGGCATGCCTGACCTGGTCTACGAATGGTGTCATTTGAGGCTCAATGATTGTTTATATGTTTTACCCAGGGATGGATAGCAGAGTGCAGGGAGGAAAACCTGGGTGGCTGGGGAAGTGGCCCAGCTGGGCGAGCGGTGGGCTGGCAGCTCTCTTTCTCCATCAGTACTCTTTGGTTGGATTAAGCCTCAGTCATAGGGATGAGAGAGGAAAGAGGGATGTTTCTCATCTGGGAGGTGTATTAACACTAGTGCCCAAGCAGGCAATGACATGCTTAGTATAGCTATGCCATTGTGGATTGGCAAACCCAAGGTCATTTACAATCCCCCTTGCTTTCCTCAACTATACAACTCTACAACTATAGAGGTGTTTTTTTGTTTTATTTTGTTTTTTTTTTCCCAAGAAGTAGTTTCACTCTTTGTTGCCCAGGTTGCAGTGCAATGGTGCAATCTTGGCTCACTGCAACCTCCGCCTCCTGGGTTCAAGCGATTCACCTGCCTCGGCCTCCCAAGTAGCTTGGACTACAGGCATGTGCCACCACACCTGGCTGGCTAATTTTTGTATTTTTAGTAGAGATGGGGTTTTGCCGTGTTGGCCAGACTGGTCTCAAACTCCTGACCTCAGGTGATCCACCCCACTCAGCCTCCGAAAATGCTGGGATTATAGGCGTGAGGCACCGTGCCCAGCCTAGAGATTTGAAAACAAAAATATCCACTTTCCCAGACTCCCTTGCAACTAAATGGTGGCTGTATGACCCAGTCCTGGTCCATGAGATGTACATTGATGTCACTGCTTGGACTTCCAAGAACGCTTCTTCCAGGTGCAGACTAGACTGGAATGGTCCATCAGATGTTTGCTCTTTCCCCCTTCCTCCTGACCAGACCACAGATGTGATGCCTAGAAATGTAGTTGCCATCCTGTGGCCATGAGGATGAAAATCACACACTCTTTTGGTGTCGTAGGGCTGCTGTAACAAATTGCCACAAACCTAGTGGCCTGAAATGGTAGAAGTTTATGGGCCGCACGCAGTGGCTCACGCCTGTAATCCCAGCACTTTGGGAGGCCGAGGCAGGTGGATCACGAGGTCAGGAGATCAAGATCATCCTGACTAACACGGTGAAACCTTGTCTCTACTAAAAATACAAAAAATTAGCCAGGCGTGGTGGTGGGCGCCTGTAGTCCCAGCTACTCGGGAGGCTGGAAGTCTGAAATCAAGGCATCGCAGGGGCATGCTGTCTCTGGAGACTCTAGAGGAGGATGCTTTCTTGCAGTGTTCTCCCCAGCTCCTGGTGCTGCCAGCAATCCTTGGCTTGGAGATACATCACTCATTGCTCCAGTCTGTGCCTCCTTTGTCACGTGGCTTTCTCCCTGTGTCTGTATCTCTCTTGTTCTTATAAAAGGCATTAGTCATATAGATTTAGAATCTACCTGACTCCAGTATGACCTCATCTTAACTTAATTACATCTGCAAAGACCTTATTTCCAAATAAGATCATATTTACAGGTACCAGGGGTTAGAACTCAAACATAATCTTTTTGGAGGACGCAATTCAACTCACAAAACACACTAAGGATGGAGAACGGGAAGACAGAAGCCCCTGATAGCCTTGTGCAGCCACTCCCAACCTTGGGCAGCCTACTTGTGACTTCTTGTTGTGTGATTCAAATAAATTCCCTATTTACTGAAGCCACCGTTTAGGTTTTCTTTTGCTCGCAGTTGAACACATTTCTAACTGCCACACTTTATCCATCCATCCATCCATCCATCCATCCATCCATCCATCCATTCCATCCATCCATCCAGTCAATCAGTTTTTAGGAAGTACCTATATTGTGCTAGTGATGTCTTACTCAGAGTTGAGGCTGGCACAGAGAAAGTACTCAATATTTATTAGTTAAGCACATGAATGGAAGGCAAATTCCTTTCATGGAACATAGAGTTTGGACATACACACAAAAAATAGACAATTGAGGCCGGGCACGGTGCCTCACGCCTGTAATCTCAGCACTTTGGAAGGCCGAGGCAGGCAGTTCACGAGGTCAGGAGATCGAGAGCATCCTGGCTAACACGGTGAAACCCCATCTCTACTAAAAATACAAAAAATTAGCCGGGGGTGGTGGCAGGTGCCTGTAGTCCCAGCTACTCAGGAGGCTGAGGCAGGAGAATGGCATGAGCCCGGGTGGCGGAGCTTGCAGTGAGCCAAGATCGCACCACTGCACTCCAGCCTGGGCAACACAGCGAGACTCCGTCTCAAAAAAAATAAATAAATAAAAAATAAGACAATTGAAATGTATGCAGGGCCTTGTATAATACCTAACTCTGACTTGGGGCTTAAGGAGTTTTCCTGGTGACTAAGAATGGTGGTAGGAGAAAGTACAGAAGCCAAAGAGAGATGGAGAAACAGAAAAACTGACTGTGACTGACTCATGGAAGGCAGGGAAGTGGGGAGTGAAGAGAGGGAAAGGGGAGGTAACGGAGGGAGAGAGAGAGAGTGTGTGGGTGTGTGGCTATTACAAGGTCAGTCTGGAAAGATGAGGCTGGAGACAGAAGCATGAACACTTGGGATCATTCTTTAATATCTAAGCCCTTGAATGCAGGACTACTATATGTATTTTAAGGGCAGGGGGTCTGTGAGTGGGATGTCTTTTAATCTGTAAATTACCTGACTAATATGACAATATGTACAACGTATCACAGAGAAGAAAGAACCTTACGGTGTGAGCATCGCTCTTTCGTATGGTTGGATGCTGCCCTGGTAAATACGTGATTCTTGGGTCAATAGAGTCTGCAAAGCTCAAGTTGTGTATTTTATGTAGCATGTGTTAATACTTAAGGGCTGTTTCCAGTAGGTCTTGCTCTAGCACATCATCCTTATGCAGCTGTGTTTTTTGGATGAGGCCATGGAGAGCTGGTTGACGCCAAATGCTCACTCTGGATACTCGGATTCTCGCCTCGCTTCTGGCTTGACAAAGGGACAGGCGTAGACAGCTATCCTTCCGTGGGCTTCCTTTTCTGCATCTCTAAAATTAACTTAAAAATTTCAGAAAAAAGACATAAAACAAACAGTGCCTTGTGCGTAGTAAGTGCTAAAAATTGATTAAAAATGTACGTAATTTAAATTTAACATCATCTATAATCCCATATAATCCCTTATCATTGTGAGAGGGTAAGCAGAAAACAGGTTGCTTTTGTGTCCCATGGCTCCTTGTGGTGAGCTGGTCCCTGCCCTGGCCCTGGATTAATACTCAGGCAGGATTGTGGCTTTTCTGGTCATCTTCACTGGTAGTGACTCAAGGATGTAGCATTGGTGTGCTCCAGACTTGGCAGATGTTTAAAGCTGAGTATTTCTCTTGAGGGTTCTTTTGTGGGTTCTTGGGAGAACCCCCATTAACGTGGATCCCTCACCTTCATTCTCTTGACAAAGTTGTAGCCCCTTCACAGCCCCTGGGCATCTGCTACTCCCCTCTGGACTCTTGTTTTGGGGTCTTCTTGCCCCTGTAGAGCAGCCTTTTTGGGGCAGGATCTAAGACAGCACCTCCCAGCCTTATCTCACCCATGGCCCCTCCTCTGCCCATCACACATCCTTTGCTATGTCAAGTTCAGGGCTCTCAGGCCAAGCCAGTGTGGCAACCTCTCCTTGCCTCTGCCCACAGCTCAGGAACTAACCCTGCTCGCTTTAGACAATGCAAGTCAGACACCAGTCCTTTGGGTCCCCCAAACTACAAGGGACACACTAAATGCTTTCTAAGTGATCCCACTACTCCATTCTTTAGGCTTGAGGCAAGAGGTAAGCATCCCCATCCTACCCCAGTGAGGGAGGGGTAGACAGACAGCACGTGGAGAACTCTCTATACATCCCCCTTTGTCAGCACCCCCTGCCCTTCCACTCTCCATGTGGTTGAGGAACCCAAGAGTCATGGAACAGTTTTGAGAAATTTATAATGTACTGTTGTGTCCTTCCAAAATTCATATGTTGAAATTCTAATTTCCAAGGTGATGGCATGAGGAGGTGGGGCCTTTGGAAGATGATTAGGTCATGAGGGTGGACCCCTCATGAATGGGATTAGTGCCCGTATAAAAGAGGCCCCAGGGAGCTCTCTTGCTGTTTCCACTGCTGTGAAGACAAGAGGAGAAAATGACCATCCACAACTGGAAGTGGTCTTGGGGCCATCTGGGCAAGGATCCCAGGGTTCTGGGTACCCAGAGCATAGAAGATCATGGCCTCTGAGGGGGCATGTTTCCTTAGTCTTATGGACTCATCACCCTGTGAGATGGAGCATGTCTAGAAAGCCAGAGAAGGGCCCTTAAATCATGGGGCTCAGGGCAGTGGATCCTCTTACCTGAGTCTAATAGCCATTCTTGACTGTCAAGTAGGGTTCCTAAATGAAGCTATATTTCAAGAGAAGATACGTTGGCTATTGAAAAAAAAAAAAAAACCCACACACAAAACAACAGACAAGAAAGAAGGCTGGAAGAATTGGCAGGATGAATAGCTCAGTTTAGTGGAACCAGGTGCAATTGTTCCAAGTATGGGGTGAGGCTGTGCTGGACCAACCCAGCAGCTCTTCTCTAGCAGCCCACCCTGGACCTGTGAGTGCTGGGAAATAGAGGATTTTCACAGAAAGAAAGCAATCATATCCAACCTAATTGCTCAACAGCTCTGGCGTGGGGAACCCCTCTGAAAGAGCTGGCCATGCAGATCAGGAAGCACCTTCCATAGGTCCGAGGAGGAGCGCTGTGGAGGCTGGAGGTATAGCAGGCTGGTGGGTATAAGGAGGGGAGGGGCCTAAGTTAATTGGGCCGGGGGAGGCAACAATGAGAGGGCAGAGAAATAACAGTCAGTGGGGCAGAAGGTCAGAGAGAAGCTGGTGGACCCCGAAACAGGGCCTGGAGAGCTGTTGGCAGCAACCCTCACTGTAGGTGAACTGCTTGGGACACTAGAAAGAAAGGCTCAGAACAACCTGGTGAGAATCCCTGTGGGGAGTTTGGGGACCACTGAGAGGATTCTGGGGAAAGACAGGCTTGCTTGTAATTCAAGGTGATTATTCAAGCGCAGACTCTGAGCTTCTAGATGTGGAGCCAATCGAACTTGATTAATGTGAGCACCTAGGCCAGTGAAGACTGGGGTTTTCTAGTTTCCTATGCTTTTTCTTGGGTAGGAGGGGAAGGTAACCTAAAGAATGGACTTACGTTTTATAAAGAGGAGTCTGGGTGCCTTATATACTCATAATATATTCTTATTGATGGTTTGTGGAATAATGGGGCAGATACACAGCAGAAAATGCTTCCTATATCCCGGAAGCCCTTGAAATGGATGTTCCTCAGTTGTATCTCAATCCTCACTTGTAACCTTTCTCCAGTTAAGTCTCAGAAAGACAGATGTTTCCAATTTAGCCTTGAAAAGTACACAGTAATAAAATAATCTTCAAATTAGCATGTCGGCAGGGCCTAGTGTTTACAATCCATTTTGAAAACAAGTCCCCGCCTTTGCCTGTTTGCATTTCCATCGGGAAGATGGGATTGCCAAGCAAGCATTACTGTGTTATCTTTTCAGGTTTTATGTTCACGTTCTGGTTCAGACATAACATTCTTCCTTTGAAGCTCTCTGCAGAAGCTGACCAAGTATTTATACTTTTTAAAACATAAAGTTCCTTCTTCTTTTTTGGTGATCAAAAAATCTGCCTTTCTGAAAAGACCTCATTACATCTTATTTGAAAAATTTTGAAATGCTTTAGAAGATGGTAGAGACCTGTTTGATTGGTTAAGCCTTTAAACATGTGAGAGATTCTCAGAGAGGTTCTTGATCTGTTTAACTTGAAGGAGGTTTGGATGAGTGGTGGAGAATGACAGAAACTGCGGAAGGATAGGAACCTGGCCGTCGTTAAAGGTGTCCCATGGAGGTACATAAAAGAACGTGACTTCTAACACATGGCCTCTGCTTCAGATGTTTGGTGGAAAATCCTTTCTAGGCTGAGGCCAACCACCCCAAGCTTCTCGGGAGCAGGATCTGAGTGCAGCTTGCAGTCCACTCACGAGAACTTTGAATTCTCGTTCTCTTGTGCCTCCATCTTCATCCGGGCTCCAGGTCTGTGCTCATCCTCAGTGGGAGGGCCTTGTGATGGATGCCATTTCTTTGGCACTTCTCCTGTCAATAGGTAGTGTCAACATTCCCCTCCTTGAGTCTGGGCTGGTCCATGACAGCTCCGCAACAGAGTGTGATGGAAGTAGTGCTATGGCAGTTCCAGGCCTTGGCTTTGAGAGGATGACAGCTTCCATTCTGGTCTCTTGGAGTCCTGGGCTGCCACGACTCCAAGAAGTCCACGTACTGTTTTAAAAAGACCACATGGCAAGGCCCTGAGACCACACAGAGAGAAAGGGGGCGTCCAGCTCAGCTCAGTCTTCCAAATGTTTCCATCGAAGCACCAAGCCTGTTAGTGAAACATTCTTAGGCTCTCCAGACCCAGACCAGCCTCCAGCTGAACACCATTTAGTGACCCCAGTCAATATAGCATGGAGAGCAGAAGAATCCGCCAACCGAGTCCTGCCCAAGTTCCTGACCCACGCAATTGTGAGCAGTAATTGTTGTTTCAAGCCATTGCATTTTGGATCATTTATTTATGCAGCAACAAATAACTGGAGCAGGCATGGAGGCCACCCAGGAAGTATGCAGAGAATTGAGACATCGTTATGTTGCATGTTCATGGAACCCATTTGTGGGGATTGCACTGTAGGAAAACAAACCCAGGAAGAGGGATTCCTCTCAACATTTCCCCTCTCTCCAGGGGAGAGTCACAGACACCAAAATTGAAAGATACTAGCATCCAGGTTACACGTGTCTGCCTAAGTCTGTGCTTTTTGCTAAGTCTTAGCCTCTCTACAACTAGACTTCAAGTGGATGGGCTCTAGCATTCCATCATGCTGTGCAGGTCTGAATCTTGCTGGTACATACAGCCTGTGCTCAAGCCAAAATCTGCTGTCAAAACAGTATCTCTTCCAAGAACAAAGGTCTATTAAAAAAAAAAAAAGAAAAGAAAAAGAAAACAGTATCTTACTTGTACCCAAGTCAGCATCTCTGATCTGTCAAATGCTCCTTCTCCATTACCATGAATCAAATGACTCCACCATTACCATGGTGACAGAGGAGTGTAGGTGACATTGGTCTCCCATCAAATGTAAACCTGATCTATATCGCAATTGTCTTTGGCTGTGAGTATTCACCATAAGAATCCTCATAACAAGTACGGCTATTGTTTGTGGGAAAGAAAAGAACAGTGGAATGCAGCTTTGTAGATAAGAATACAAAATATTTTAACGAAAATGTACCAGCTGTTCGACCCTCAGTATATATCACACAGACAATAAAATAAACACAATCAGCATTATTTACTCAGTGTGAATGACTCCTGGCTCTGGCACCCTGGCTGTTTAGTTGAGTTAAGCTGGCTTTAGCTGGGTTGTGTCTGCCAGGTTGCCTTCTGAAGGTAATGGCTTATAAAACTGCATGAAAAAATCTTAAGGAGTAGCCTTATTTTTAAGGCAATAATCCTCACTAAGGAAAACTGTGTTAAATAGATTAGTGTAATGAACTCAACTTAAGGATTTTATCGATTCTTTTTCCATTGTTAGGAAAGGTAGCGTGACACTGAATTTTCTCTCCATTATTATTATTGTGTTTTTGACAGAGTCTTGCTCTGTTGCCCAGGCTGGAGTGCAGCGGCGTGATCTAGGCTCACTGCAACCTCTGCCCCCTGGGTTCAAGGGATTCTCATGCCTCAGCCTCCCAAGTAGCTGGGATTACAGGTGTGCACCACCACATCCGTCTAATTTTTTGAATTTTTAATAGAGACAGCATTGCACCATGTTGGCCAGGCTGCTCAAACTCCTGACCTCAAGTGATCTGCCCACCTCAGCATCCCAAAGTGCTGGGATTACAGGTGTGAGCCACCTTGCCAGGCTTCCATTAATTGTTTCACGTTTATTTTTTGTGACTTTTTCTGTACTGAATAGTAACATTTTGATGTGAAGGATTTCTGGATAGAAAGCAAAACAAACAAAAACTCAACTGGTTTAATTTCCCCAGAAGTGGTCTCAGATCACCTTTGTTACGCTTTTCTGTTCAGTAGGAATGTTCTGGCAGTGTGTTGAGTTGGCATATTTGGCTTCTGTTACAGTAGTGTATATATTCTAGGAGACTCATGAGTTCTCTGTGAGATTTTTATATTTTCTGTTTTAATTTATATCACATAAGAAAATTAATATTAGCGTATCTGAATGTTCTGACTACATAATCACCAAATACTGCCACATGGTTTCAACGCCGGTACTAATTTGAATTTAATATATTAATTTGTTTTAATTTTATAGTTGTATAAAACAATAGTTATGCTTTAGTCCTGTCTATATGTTTGTGTATTTGTTATTTTATTAAGCTCTTTTCTTTGTGCCAGGCGCAGATCTAAAAACTCTACGTGTATTATCATTGCCTTGCTAATATTATTTCTTTCTTTTTTTTTTTTTTTTTTTTTTGAGACAGAGTCTCACTCTGTCACCCAGGCTGGAGTGCAGTGGCTCCATCTCGGCTCACTGCAAGCTCCGCCTCCTGGGTTCACGCCATTCTCCTGCCTCAGCCTCCCGAGTAGCTGGGACTACAGGCACCCACCACCGCGCCCGGCTAATTTTTTGTATTTTCAGTAGAGATGGGATTTCACCACGTTAGCCAGGATGGTCTCGATCTCCTGACCTCATGATCCACCCACCTTGGCCTCCCATTGCTAGTATTATTTCTATATTGTATATGAGAAAACAGTGACACAGAGTGGTAAAATTTAAGTAACAGAAAACTCAACTCAAAATTTCTTAAATGAGAATAGAGGTTTGTCTACTCACATCATTGAAAAGTCCAGAGGTAGAGTGAGTTTCTGGTGTGGTTTGGCTGGGGCTCTGCCTCAGTTTCTTAGCAATGACTCTGGCCTGATTCTTTCTATGGGTCAGCTTTATTTTTTGGTAGGTGTTTCCTGGTTGGGTAACAAAATGGCTGCCTTTGTCTGTCAGGACCACATAGTTCCTCACCTACATCTAGGGAGAAAGAGTCACTTCTACAGCTACTACCGGCTTTACTGTGATTTGCAGTCACATGGTCTGGGAGATGCCCTGCACTGATTAGTTTAGGCTTGATGTCATCACTCTGCCCATGAGGTTGGGGATTATCGTGATTGGGATTGCACTGCAAACCCATGGAGCTAGAGTCTACCCATGGAGTTTGAGGGCAATTTATTCCCACACGAACTACCTAGCTGCTACACAAGGATGGTCTGCTGAAATGGAGGTGAGGGTGGACGCAATCACAATTTCACCCTACTTAGGAAGTTGCCCAAGGTCATGTGGTTAATAAGTGGTAGCTGGGATGCCCATCCAGCAGAACCACTCCAAGGTCAGCAATCTTAACCACTATCCTATAGATCTAAATAACTTCACATTAAAAATTATTTGAGTGGCTGGGCACGGTGGCTCATGCCTGTAAACC